>NW_025791761.1:300000-535251 GCF_000001405.40 Homo sapiens
GGGCAGCCAGGACCTGAAAGTGACTCCCAGAGGCTTCCTGTCTACAAGAGCACCAGGGAGACATGTAATCTGCCAAACCTTAGAAGTGAAATGAATGAGAAAAGAATAACAAACAAGACCTCTCATCATTCCAAGTTCCAGTAGCCAGAAATAGGAAATAAATTAAAATATTCTTTGACATCAGTAATTTTTTACATCAATAATTTTTTTAAATAAAATAATAATAATACCTGTATCAAAGAAACTCATTAATTTAAGGGCTTTATATACTATGGGATGACCAAACATGAACAACCAAAGCCCTTCTCCTTGAGTTGCATCAGATTGATTGTTACTTCAGTCAACCAACAAAGCAGTAAGATCAGAACTGAAGAATACAAGGGCTCACAAAATGTCAAGCATGAAAAATTAAAGCGAACATCTACACTAGGGCCTGGCCCATCATCGTTAAATTGCAGAACATCCAAATGAAGTGAAAATTCTACAAGTTTTCAGAGAGAAAAACCAGGTCACATATAAAGAATCATGAATTAAGGGCATCATGCTCCTCAACAGTCCTGCTTTTTTTTCCCTCAGCACCTCTTTCTAACATACTTTATATTCTACTTCTTATGTTTATTGTCTATCTCCCAATTAGAATGTGTCACAAGGGAAAGAATCTTTGTCTAATTTGTTTACTAATATATCCCAAACACCAAGAATGATGCCTGGCTTATAGTAGGCACTCAGTAAATATTTGGCAAATGAATGAATTGGTAATAGGTACACAAATAACTAGGCAAATCAAAAGTTTGGTAATTTTTAACTATGAGAAATTACTTTAATTGTACAAAAATAGAAAATATCATAATCCATGACTTGGCTCAAAATAAACAGTATTTATAGTCATAATAATATAGACATCAAATATTAATTTAATAAAAATTATAAATAGGACAGGTGCAGTGGCTCACACCTGTAATTCCAGCACTTGGGGAGGCCAAGGCGGGCAACTGCTTGAGCCCAGGAGTTCAAGACCAGCCTGGGCAACATGGCAAAACCCCATCTCTACAAAAATACACAAATTAGCTGGGCATGATGTCACGTGCCTATAGTCCTAACTACTCAGGAGGCTGAGCTGGGAGGATTGCTTGAGCCTAGGAGGTGGAGGTTGCAGTGAGCAGTGATCATGCCACTGTACTCCAGCCTGGGCAACAGAGCAAGACCCTGTTTCAAAAAAAAATAAAATTATAAATATACTGACAGGAATGTGAGAGGAAGTAGTACAAGGAAGCTAAGACCTCAGCTACTATTACAGAAAGTCAAAAATGTCTAGAAATATCAATATAGAAATGTGAAGGGAAATACCAAATGAAATAGCTAAAAGAGTTACAAGTGGTTGCTTCTAGGAAACAAGACAGGGAAGAAGAATCAGGGCAAATGATTGTTGGTTTGCTTTCTAGTCAAGTGTTGCAAACATCTCCATTTGTGGATCTGACTAAACAAAGCCACCTGTTCTTTCAATAAGAAAAGAGTTAGGCCAGGCACAGTGGCTCACACCTGTAATCCCAGTACTTTGGGAGGCCAAGGCAGGAGGATCCCTTGAGCTCAGGAGTTCCAGCCTGGGCAACATGGAGAGACCAGGTCTCTACAAAAAATTAGAAAAGTAGCTGGGCATGGTGGTGCACACCTGTACTCCCAGCTATGCAGGATGCTGAGGAGGGAGGATCACTGGAACTTGGGAGGTCGAGACTACAGTGAGCCATGATTGTGCCACCACACTCCAGTCTGAGTGACAGAGCAAGACCCTGTCCAAAAGAACAAAAAACAAACAAAAAAAGCCACAGAGACTACCACCACAAGTGCTATATCAGCCTGCATAAGAAGTAACCCAGTGGCCGGGCGCAGTGGCTCACGCCTGTAATCCCAACACTTTGGGATGCCAAGGCGGCCAGATCACTTGAAGTCAAGAGTTCGAGGCCAGCCTGAACAACATGGTGAAATGCCATCTCTACTAAAAATACAAAAATTATCCAAGCATGGTGGCATGCGCCTTTAGTCACATCTACCTGGGAGACTGAGAGGAATGGGAGAATCACTTGAATTTGTATTTTTAGTAGAGACGGGTTTCACCGTGTTAGGCCAGGATGGTCTCGATCTCCTGACCTCGTGATCCACCTGCCTCGGCCTCCCAAAGTGCCGGGATTACAGGTGTGAGCCACCGTGCCGGGCCCTCACCTGTATCTTTGTAATAGCGACTTCCTAGTTTCCCTGTCCCAAGTTAGTTCCTCTCTCCTCCACTCACCTTCCATGTTGCCATCAGGAATAGCACAGATCAGATTATGTCTCTCCTTTCTTCTAAAACTTTTAGTATTGTTCCATGGCTTGCAGAATAAAGTTCAGACTCTTCTGTTTAGCATTCAAAGCATTTGAGAGGTGGGAGAATCACTTGAACCTGGGAGGCGGAGGTTGCAATGAGCCAAGATTGCACCACTGCACTCCAGCTTGGGAGACAGAGCAAGACCCTGTCTCAAAAAAAAAAAAAAAAAAAAAAAAGTAGCCCAGGGGTTGCTTGATGACTTGTGCTATAGAACAAAAGTAAAAGACGTAGCCCAATATGGACTTTTTTTTTAACTAATTGGTGCTACCAAAAGCATTCAAGAAATATCACCCCAAAATAAAGTCATGTTCTCTATACATGACTATAAAAGCCATTCTTGAAGGGGTTTTGGGTTTAAACCTTGGCTCTACCACTAACCCTTTGTGAGTCCCTAGACAAGTTTATTGTCCTCCCAGGCCTCTAGATATTTCACACACTTACACAATGAAGACAAAATAATCTTTGAAATTTCAAAACAATAAATATATAAACACAGGATAAAGAAAACAATAAGTTTCAAAACAATAAGTATATAAACATAGGATAAAGAAAAAGCAAACTGTAAGGTATTTACACTAATAGTAAGTAGATTCCATCAATTCCTGTCAATTGCTTTTCTTCCTCATTCTTAATATGTACGAGATAATTGGACATGTTCCACCAAGATCACAAAACCACTAGAGTTAAGAATAGGCAGGAGTGAGGAAAGGCACAATATGAGGAAGACCGCTGCAACTGGAAAGAAGGATGGATACAAGGAAGTCTAAAAACAGAATGTAAGGAGACTGACAAGTTAGTTACTAGTCAATTACTAGTTCCTGTTACCAGTTCCATCCACCAGTAACTAGAATATGGGTTGCAAACAATGGTATGAGAAATATACTATGGGAACCAAAAAGGAGTGATTCATTCTTAGGACTGGTGGGATGGGGCCAGGGAATGGAGGGAGAAAGGCAACACTTGGAATGGACCTTAAAAGTTAAATCCAATTTCAATTGCAAGTGGAGAGAATGGGTATTTCAAGCTAAAAACAAAAACAAAACAAAACAAAAACACAAAAATCTAATGTGAACAAAGTTGAAACAAAAAATACCCCCCCTTTTTTTTTCTTTTCTGGGAGAAGGCTTAGTTGGAGAGAGAAATGGTAATAAAGAGAGCGTATACTAATACATGTAGTAGAAAAGGCAGTTTGAAACCAAATGGTAGAAGACTTTGAATGCTAAACAGAAGAGTCTGAACTTTATTCTGCGAGCTGTGGGATACTACTAAAAGTTTAAGAAGAAAGGAGAGACATACCTGATCTGTGCTATCCTTGATGGCAACATAAAAGGTGAGTGAAGGAGAGAAGAACTAACTTCGAACAGGGAGACTGGTAAGTGGCTATTACAAAGATACAGGGGAGGGCCGGATGCAGTGGCTCACACCTGTAATCCCAGCACTTTGGGAGGCTGAGGCAGGCAGATCACGAGGTCAGGAGATCGAGGCCATCCTGGCTAACACGGTGAAACCCCATCTCTACTAAAAATACAAAAAATTAGCTAGGTGTGGTGGCACGCACCTGTAGACCCAACTACTGGTGAGGCTGAGGCAAGAGAATTGCTTGAACCTGGGAGGCGGAGGTTGCAGTGACCCAAGATAGCACCACTGCACTCCAGCCTGTGCGACAGAGCAAGACTCCATCTCAAAAAAATAAATAAATAAAAGATACAGGTGAAACAGCTTGAGGCCTGAACCAACACACTGGGCATGAAAAAGAAGACAGTGGGTACTTTTACCTATTGCTAATGGTTTTTTATTATTTTAATAGTATTACATTCATACCATTCAAAATTCAGAAGGTACCAAAGAATATACAGTGGAAAGTCTTCCTCCTACTTCTGTTCCCAATCACTCAATTACCCACCCCAGAGGCAATCGATTTCTTATGTATCCTTCTAGAGATGTTTTATCCATAAACAAGTAAATTATATATATAATGTTAATATATATACATCCAAATATATGTGTGTATATATGAAATTCTTACCATTTCTTTTTATATAAATGATAGCATACTATTTATACCGTCCTATACATCTTGCTTTTGTCGAATTCAGTCCTTTTGAAAAGAAATTTAGCAATATATAGGTACATACACACAAGTATACATTATATATAATCATAAAAATGCTCGAATCCTGGCCAGGCGCGGTGGCTCAAGCCTGTAATCCCAGCACTTTGGGAGGCTGAGGTAGGGGGATCACCTGAGGTCCGGGAGTTCGAGACCAGCCTGACCAACATGGAGAAACCCCATCTCTACTAAAAATACAAAATTAGACGGGTGTGGTGGCGCATGCCTATAATCCCAGCTACTCGGAAGGCTGAGGCAGGAGAGTCGCTTGAACCCGGGAGGCGGAGGTTGCGGTGAGCCGAGATCGCACCATTACACTCCAGCCTGGGAAACAAGAGTAAAATTCTGTCTCAAAAAAATAATAATAATTAGTTGGGCGTGGTGGCAGGTGCCTGTAATCCCAGCTACTCGGGATGCTGAGACAAGAGAACCTCTTGAACCCGGGAGGCAGAGGTTGCAGTGAGCCGAGATTGCACCAATGCACTCCAGCCTGGGTGACAAGAGCAGAACTCCATCTCAAATTTAAAAAAAGAAAAAAGAAAATACTAGAAATGGGATTATGGTGATCTTTGTTCTCGCTCTTCACAACTGCTTGTGTTGCTTCTTTGTTTCATTAACAGATGATAAAAGAGGGGGGAGCACATGAAAACATTTCAGAGATTTTGTATTAAGAAAATTTGGCAACAATTGTTCTTTTTGCCACAGAGGTGTCTATTCTCTAATATCTGAATTTGACCTCCAGGACTACAACCACTAAATAAAAAACACAAACACACAATACAAGCGTTCTGTATGGCATCTACTTCATAGAATACTATGCAGCCATAAAAAAGACTGGAATCATGTCCTTTGCAACAATGTGGATGCAGCTGGAGGCCATTATCCTAAGCAGAATTAATGCAGAAACAGAAAATCAAATATCACATGTTCTCTTTTAAAAGTGGGAATTAAATATTGGGTATGAGGCAGGAGAACAGGGTCTGGAGGCCATTTCACACCAACTTCCTAGAACTAAATTGAAAGGAAAACCCTAACTTTCCACACCTAAGTAACAAAAGGACCTGAGGCTACTCCCTTCGCAAACCCCCTTTTCTCCACGGCAGATGGGAAATTGGCTGTTCGCAATCAGACCGACTGCAGGCAGACTCTTCCTTTGCATAGAAATACAACGTTGTAACTTTCCCTTAGCCTCTGATTGGTTGCTTTCTGCAACCAATCAGATGTTTGTACGGGAGTGTGACCTTTATAACTTCACTTCAGCCTCTGATAGGTTGCTTTCCGCAACCAATCAGACCAATTGCGGGCCACCACTTCATTTACATGAGGTAAGCACCAAGTGGCCAATGGGGAACCTCTAGGAAGTATTTGGACGCGAGAAGTTTCTGTATCCAGGCCCTTAATCCGCTGCTCATTGGCTCCCACACTATGGAGTGTACTTTCATTTTCAATAAATTCCTGCTTTCGTTCTTTCATTGCTTCATTCTTTCCTTGCTTTGCTGGGCGTTTTGTCCAACTCTGTTCAAAATGCCAAGAACCTGGACAACTTGCAGTCAAGACCCTCTACCTGTTACAGGTACACATGGACATAAAGACAGGAACAATAGATACTGGGGACTATTAGAGCGGGGAGAGAGAGAAAGGGCAAGGGGTGAAAAAATTCCTGTTTGGTACCATGTTCACTATCTGGATGACAGGATCAACAGAAGTCCAAACCTCAGCATCACACAACATACCTTTGTAAGAAACCTGCACATGGGGGCCGGGCGCGGTGGCTCACACCTGTAATCTCAGCACTTTGGGAGGCGGAGACGGGTGGATCACGAGGTCAGGAGATCGAGACCATCCTGGCTAACATGGTGAAACCCCGTCTCTACTAAAAATACAAAAAATTAGCTGGGTGTGGTGGCGGGCGCCTGTAGTCCCCGCTACTCGGGAGGCTGAGGCAAGAGAATGGTGTTAACCCGGGCGGCGGAGCTTGCAGTGAGCCAAGATTGCGCCACTGCACCACAGCCTGGGCGAGCGCAAGACTCTGTCTCAAAAAAAAAAAAAAAAAAAAAAAGAAACCTGCACATGGGCCTTTTGAATCTAACATTTAAAAATTTTTAAAGTATACTGTATATATGGAATCGCCAAGATGTCAACATTCTTGACTTTAAAACTATCAGGAAATAGAGCAGCCTTAGCACAAACCACAAAGGACACAGCGGCTAACAAAGAAAACAAATGCTTTAGTTGACATGTACTGAAACAGGCTTTGCCAGTATCTGGGGTTATAAATGATGCCAAAGAACCACTTACCCTGAGGTATTTTGCCAGTGTTTTCTCCAGCTCTCCTACTCTATTTTAACTTAATTTTAACTGAAAGATAGAGTGTATAGCTTAGAGGAAAAAAGCATAAGTTTTCTCCCATCCATAAGAAGTCAGTACTTGACTTCTACAGGAGACAGTTAACTAATTAACTCATTAAATTAGAGACAATTACTTGGCAATGTCTGTAAGCCTGTTGCCTGAACAACACAACCAAAGAGGGAGTTTAGATCTGAAACTAGAATCTATCTACCCACAGTCAGTCAAAAATGCTAAAATATTTTAGGTATTATGCTAACAAAGAAAAGCTGGTACCTCAAAAATTGGTGATATATTTAAATCAGGGGTTTGGGTTTTTTTTTTTTGGGCGGGGGGGGGGACTCAAGTGATCCTCCCACCTCAGCCTCCTGAGTAGCTGGGACCACAGGTACGTGCCACCATGCTCAGCTAAGTTTTTCAGTTTTTATTTTTTTGTAAAGATGGGGGTCCCACTAGGTTGCCCCCCCACACACACATACACACTTAGTATAGCAAGCAATTTAATAGTTTCATAATATAATTTTCATTTTGTTCCTGTGTTTTCAAAGGATGAACTAAAATGACTTTAGATGAAATTACCCAAGTATGTCTATACTCCAAGTAACTTTAGAGTTTATCATTTGCCATTTCAAAGATATCTCTTAAGCAGTTGTATATCCCTCTGGGGCAAGAAGTCAAGGACACATGGAAGACATTGACATAAAGTAGCTGACAGTATCTGAAATGTATCTGAAATAGCTGGTCCATTTTCTTGATTAAACTTTTTCCAAGCCCAACTCAAGTATTTGAAATGTAAAAGAACATACAGCTTTGACATTTCCAGAAATATTTAAATTTACATTGAGTATAGTTAGCATGTGCTCAGGAAAGCCTTAACATTCTAAAGCTTAAGAAATAAAATAGATCTCATGAGATTAGAATCCTCATACATTTAATCAAAATTATTGTCTATAAAAGATGGCAGGGTTTCACATACAGATGTGTATCATAATTACACTGAACTATCTCTAGCTCCAAATGAGAAGATCATGCCATTTAAAAATGTTTTGCCTACCAAGCCAACAGATCAACATACCAAGGCTTCAACTGACTGGAATAAACTGGATAGCAATAACTCCTTTGCAATTTACCAAATTTAACCTTAAGTGACCTTTAGGATGTATGCAACCGGCTGGGCACGGTGGCTCACACCTGTAATCCCAGCACTTTGGGAGGCCGAGGCGGGTGGATCACGAGCTCAGGAGTTTGAGACCAGCCTGGCCAACATAGCGAAACCCCATCTCTACTAAAAATACAAAAATTAGCCAGGCCTGATGGTGGGTGCCTTCAATCCCAGCTACTCGAGAGGCGGAGGCAGGAGAATCACTTGAACCCAGGAGGCGGAGGTTGCAGTAAGCCGAGATCGTGCCACTCACTGCACTCCAGCCTGGGCGACCAGAAGAAGACTCCATCCCAGGAAAAAAAAAAAAAAAAAGGATGTATGCAACCTATATTATTATATTAACTACACATTACAAAGACTGACACACAACCCTAAATTTCCACTAAGAAAAAAAGGTTAACTTAAAATTCAATGATTTGAATGAGCATAAAGCCCAAACACTCTAAATGATACAAATTACTTGTTTAAATAGTTTAAGTTCATAAACAGATCCTTTGATGTTTTATATCTCTAAAAGATATTCCAGAGACTATAAAGAAAAATTCTGATGTGTTGTGACTAGAAAACTGGTTACTTTTAAAAAATTATATGGTGTATCAAGATTAAGGATTTTTGAAGTATGCACATCAAAACTAAGGCAATATATCTAGAAACACTGCTTTTTAAGCCAAAAATCTGCTGAGATCAAATCTTTCAGGTTATTTTGCATTCATTTTGAAACTGTGTACCAGGCACTATGCCTGGTGCCTGGTACTGGGGATGCAGAGATCAACAAGACATAGTGCCTGCTGTCAAGTAGCTCAGAGATGATGGCACGACGGACACTAAAACTGGGTCAGAAAACTTGGGTTCTAAACTCCTGTGCCATTAACTCAAGAATTTTTGGGCAAAACATGCAGATTCTTGGAGTCTCTTCTTTAACAAGGGTTTGCAGAAAAATTGCTGTCCTATTGTGAGGCAAAAATGACACCTTGAACACCAAAGTACTTCAAAATTGTAAAATATAACTTGAAATAGTTACTGTAAAATGCTTAGAAACAGAAAAGCATAGGATCTCTATTTCCCTCCTTGCTTAGTGAATTCTTCTGCTTTTGCCCAAACATGAAGAAATTATTGTTCTAACCTTTCATCTCTCTCCAAGCCAGAGTTTCCCTGGGTTGGCTTCCAGTATTCCTGGGCTTACCACGAGATCGGTCCTGACTGGTCTAGGCAGCTTTATCTCTGTCTAACCAACATGTGGCTGTAATATGAGTCAAAACAAACTGTTCCTCCATTACTTTGTTCCAACTGAGATGAACTGACATTTTCAGATCTTAACATCCTTTCAATTTCAGTAATTCAAATGACAATATCATGAAGTTTAGTAACTACAGATATCTCATAGAGCATTTCCCACATAGAAAAATGAATTATTTGAACAATAAAAGAGGACAATATGTACTAAGGCAAGTACTGAGTATATGAAGCTAGTTCTCTTACTGTCCTTCACTATTATGGCTCTTACTTCCAACAGAAGCCAAATTTAGTCAGGAATGCATGCCCTTTCACTACACAAGCACTCTACATAAGGAGCAAAGACCACAGCAGATCTGACACACAAACCCTGTTAAACAGTACAATGTGTAATTTGCCTTATTATGTTAGTTCAATTAGAATAAAAGAGCATTCTATCATAAATAATACTTTATAAGAAAAAAATTATTTTAAATACATATGGCCAGTTTGATTTTTTAACAACTTTATTAAGCCATATTAATTTTTAAAAACAAGGATTTTAATTAGTAATGTAAAATTTTTCCAATGTTACTCAAATCAACTACATGAGCATTAGGGAAAAGCAGTTGTATAAATCTAATTTTGATTAGCACTTTCAGTTGCATATTTTGGATATACTAGAAACAAAACCTTTTACTGATTTTGCTAAAAAAATATTATTCAGTGCTCTGTCTTCCTAACTCAGATTGCTTCCATGAATACTATGTGCTTATTTTTGTTGTTGTTTTAATATATTTTCACTGTCCACTATAGTAAGCCCTACTGTCAGCTACTGAATGATGCAATTTCTAACACAGCAGGGAGGTAAAGACCCTTATTAATCAATGAAATCAATTGAAGCTACCATAATAAAGAAGATCTACCAAAACAATTTTCCACTCAAAATAACCAAAAACCTTGGAAATAAAATAATGACCCAAAGAACCCAATAACTGGAACTAGAATGCTTCCCAAGGCAGATTAAGTTGAATAATTAATTTGCATCATTCCTTAAATAAATACTTTAGTCTCTTAGTCTAAGTAACCATGGGAACATACAAGAAGCATATATATGTATAAGCTTGGGCAAATCATGTCGCTTTGACAATCAAGGTGCTGCTCCTAGGGGGATGGAATGCCTTAATGTTGATAAGCCTTGATTAAATACCAAGATTTTTACCAAAGAGAAATAAGGACCTTTAACATAGCAGGGTGCAGAAAGTATTAAAAGATCTAAGAAACAGATCAACCAAATGCAATGTATGAATCTAGCTTGGATCCTGCTTTTTAACAAAGCTACTTAAAAATATATGAAACAATCAGAGAACTTCGACACTCAAAAGAAATTGATGATAAGACTTTTTTTAGGTGTGATAATGGTGTTATGATTTGGTTAGTTTTTCAGAGTGTTTATCTTTAGGAGCTACATACTGAACTATTTATGGATACTGCAAGATGATGTCTGAGAACTGCTTCAAAATAAGCCACTGTGGCTGTAATACAGATGAAGCAAGGTTAGCCATGATAATTGGTGACACTGGAATGACAGATATATGGTGATTCATTATACCATTTTCTCTTTTTTTGTATGAATTTTAAAGTTTATTAATTCAGTTAGAATTACAACAAACTTTTTAAAAAATAATTTCAAATCATATTTTATTTTTTTGAGATGGAGTCTCCCTCTGTCACCCAGGCTGGAGTGCAGTGGCGTGACCTTGGCTCACTGCAACCTCCACCTCCCAGGTTCAAGTGATTCTCCTGCCTCAGTCTCCCTAGTAGCTGGGATTACAGGCATGCACCACCACGCTAATTTTTGTATTTTTAGTAGAGGCGGGGTTTTACCATGTTGGCCAGGCTGGCCTCGAACTCCTGACCTCAAGTGAGCCACCCACCTCAGCCTTCGAAAGTGCTGGGATTACAGGCATGAGCCTCAATTCATATTTTAGATTAAGAGGGTACATGTGTGGGTTTGTTACAAGGGAATACTGTGTGATGCTGAGGTTTGGGGTACAAATGATCCCATCAGCCAGAGAGTTTGCATAGTTCCCAATAGTTTTTCCACCCTGTTCCCCTCCTTCCTTTCTCCCTCTAGTCATCCATGGTATCCATCATTATTCTATTTTCTCTAGATTTGTATATGTTTGAAATTTTTCATAACAAAGTTATTTAAAGGGCTACAGAAAAATAATGAAACAATTCTTTACACACTAACATACCTGTATCTCCAAATAATATTAAGTAAAAAAGGCGAATTGTATTAAAATATATAAAGCAAAGCTCCTCCGTTTACTGTATATCCTTGAACAAGCTACTTAACCTTTCTGGGGCTTAGTTTCCTCATCTGTAAAATGGGAATACTAATCGTTCCTACCTTATAGAGTTGTTCTGAGGATTAAATATGATGATTTATATAAAATACTTAAAATAGTGCCTGATACATAACAGTGACACAGTAAGCATTAGCTATTATTATTTATGTTTTTTAAAACCACAAAACCCCATATTTTCTTTTTTTGTTGTTGTTGTTGTTGTTGTTGAGACGGAGTCTCACTCAGCCACCCAGGCTGGAGTGGAGTGGTGTGATCTCAGCTCACTGCAACCACCATCTCCCAGGTTCAAGCGATTCTCCCATCTCAGCCTCCCGAGCAGTTGAGATTACAGGCATCCGCCATCATGCCTGGCTAATTTTTGTATTTTAGTAGAGATGGGGTTTCACCATGTGGGCCAGGCTGGTCTTGAACTCCTAACCTCAGGTGATCCAGCCGCCTCGGCCTCCCAAAGTGCTAGGATTACAGGCCATCGCGCCCGGCCAAAACCCCATATTTTCTGTGTAAATGTATGGGGAAAGATCAGAAAGAAACACGACCAAGAACAGTGGTTACCTCTTAGGTGGCAGGGAATTATTGGCTTTTGGGGTAGAGCTCAGGAAGGACTTCAAGCCTTCAGAAGTATTGGCTTTTGGGGTAGAGCTCAGGAAGGACTTCAAGCCTTCAGCTTTATACAGAATGTTCTATTTTTTTAAAAAAGTATTAATGTAGGGATGTGTAATTTAAGCAGCTCTAGGCTATGAGTCCTTTAAAAACAGGGATACCTTATTCATCCTCATACCTCTAGCACCTTGCACAGTACCTGGCTCTTTGTAGGACAATCAATAGCAATCTGTGTTGAACAGATCTGCTGAAAATAATGAGCCATGGGATGGGAGGGGTAGGGTAAGGACAGAAAAGAAGATGGGGAGAGGAAGACCACCATAAGAAAAAGACTAGAAAGAAGACTGAGAGAAAAAATTTTTCTGAAGAAAAAATGAGGTGAGGATACATTTCTTCTTCAGGGGTCCTAATTTTGGTTATTTTTTGTCATTTCACTTAAGGTATTTTTGCAGATAGTATGACAGCTGCACTGGAATGTTCTAGAAAGCTACCAAATACAGCAGTGTTGACTTGGAGGCACAGAATCTCTTGCCATCTCTGTCTCCCAGCCTCCCTGAGTCACCCCTAGGCTTCCAGGTTTTCCAATCCCTTATATGCTATACATAAACAGTTCTTGGTTTTAATGTGCCTAGCTTTCCTTCCCCCCTTCTGGTAACTGCATGCTAATTTTTCTTGAACATACACACCTCCCTCACCCTCAATTTACACAGGTCATTCAAATGGGGCTGACTCAACTGAACAGTTCCAGAGGTGAGCATGTGAACCAGATCTGGCCAATGAGAACACTGCCTCCTTCTAGTACATGGGTTTTCTTGGGGTATTAGGGAGGACAATAATTCCTAGACTTAACCTAGAAATTGGAGAAACAGTACCTTTTCTCTGCTGAATGGGTAGGATTTTAATCTGGGGATGCTCCACATGGCAAAGCCTGTTTGAGAATGAAGCTAGCACAACAGAAACCAAAACTAAGAGATGAAAGGTGCATGATCCCTGGTGACAGCAGTTAAGCTCCTGATCCACTCATGGCTAGAGCCAGTACATTCTAAGCCTACGCATGTTTAACCAAAATTCCTGTCACTGAAGACTGAAATAGTACTGACTAATATTTTCAAAATGTGTGTTTCTTCCAGTTCTAGAAACCCAACGCTGGCCATAGCAATGGTTTCAGTGGAAGATGCTTTCAGAAATTTCCACAGTACTAAGTAAGAGAAATCTGCACAGAACAGGGAGGTGGTGATTTTAAAAAAGAAAGTTACGCACAAAAAAAAAATATGTATTTTTTCAAGTCTGTGTCTTGGGATTTCAGAGCCTATGGCTGGACCGTTATTCTTTTACACGTCCAGACTGAGCGAATGAAGTTTCAGAAGAAAACTCTGCAAACATCTTCCATGGTCTCTCGGGTCTCCCAGCCTTAGACTGTGACTATACAACATCTTAGAACCTCATAGACTTGAGAGAAATCGGTATTTGTCAATAACTTCAGATGGATGTCTCAAGAATGTAAGTAATTAACTGATTATATGTACATAATCATAAATACATATTAACATCTTAGTCTCTTGACTAGGTCCAGCATAGTCATCTGGAGAAGACAAGGGACTCAGATCTTATTCAAGAAACAAACAAAACATCCTAATCTCAACTTAGAAGAGAAGGAAAGAGACAAGGAACTAAGCTTTATTTGGTTCTGCATAGTTTACATGTTATTTTATTTAATCTTTAGAACATCCCTATGTGCTAGGTGTCATTATCCCTTCTTAGACAGATGAGAAAACAGGCTCCAAAAGTAAACACCTGAGCTCAAAAGGTTTCAAATGAGGATTCAAACCCAGGTTAGACTACAAATCCCATGTAGGCTCCAGGTACACTCTGCTGCCCTCTGGATGAAAAGGAGTTTCATCCAGCTCAAGATGTTCTAGGAACTCTATAGACAGGAGGACATTAAATTGAAAGAATCGGCCAGGCGTAGTGGCTCACGCCTGTAATCCCAGTACTTTGGGAGGCCATTTACCCCCATACTTAATTACCAATGCTTCAGGCACACTGGCCTGTTTGTTGAACACATCAAACCCTTTTCTATATCTAAGCTTTGTACGTGTGAGCCCTTTGGAATTCCCTCCACCACTTCACCCTCATTCCCTTTTAGTTCTCAGCTCTTAATATTGCCTCCTAAGGGCCCTTCACTGACCACTCTCTTGAAAAATGATTTAAAAAATGATGGCCCTTCTCATTATTCTGTTTACTTCCTTGGACGTGTCACAATCTGTAGTAAGCTTTTTTTTGTTTGTTTTGTTTTTTGTTTTGTTTTAAGAGACAGGGTCTTACTCTATCACCCAGGCTGGAGTGCAGTAGCATGACCCTAGCTCACTGTAACCTCAGACTCCTGGGCTCACATGATCTTCCTTCCTCAGCCTTCCTAGTAGCTAGGACTACAAGCACAGGCCACCATGCCTGGCTAATTTCTTTTCTTTTTTATCTTTTTTTTTTTTTTTGTAGAGACAGAATCTCACTTTTTTGGCCAGGCTGGTCTCAAACTAGTGGCCTCAAGTGATCCTCCTGCTTCAGCCTCCCAAAGAGGTGGGATTACAGGAATGAGCCAGTGTGCCCAGCCAATCTGTGGGCTTTTTTTTTTTTCCCCCCGAGACTGAGTCTTCCTCTGTCGCCCAGGCTGGAGTGCAATGACACGATCTCGGCTCACTGCAACCTCTGCCTCCTGGGTTCAAGCAATTCTCCCACCTCAGCCTCCCAAGTAGCTGGGATTACAGGCGCCCGCCACCACGCCTGGCTAATTTTTGTATTTTTAGTAGAGACGGGGTTTCACCTTGTTGTCCAGGCTGGTCTCGAACTCCTGACCTCGTGGTCTGCTCTGTGGGCTTTTTTAATTGTCCACCTCGCCCCTAGAATGTTAGGTTCTAGGCTGGGCACGGATGGTGGCTCTCATCTGTAATCCCAGCACTTTGGGAGGCCGAGGCAGGTACATCACCTGAGGTCAGGAGTTCGAGACCAGCCTGGCCAACATGATGATACCCCCATCTCTACTAAAAATACAAAAAAAATTTAGCCAGGTGTGGTGGTGCACATCTGTAATCCCAGCTACTCAGGAGGCTGAGGCAGGAGAATTGCTTGAACCTGGGATGCAGTGGTTGCAGTGAGCTGAGACTGCGCCATTGCACTCCAGCCTGGGCAACAAGAGCAAAACTCTGTCCCCCACCAAAAAAAAAAAAGAATGTGAGGTTCTACCTTCACTGAGGTCCTTTGTATTGTCCCTACCCTCACTAAACAGCTCTATCTTATCTCTATAAAGGTAGAACCTAGTACAGTGCTTAGCCTGGTACAAAGTAGGCAATTAAAAGTGTATTGATCGGCCAGGTGCGGTGGCTCACGCCTATAATCCCAGCACTTTGGGAGGCCGAGGAGGGTGGATCACAAAGTCAGGAGACTGAGACCATCCTGGCTAACACGGTGAAACCCTGTCTCTACTAAAAATACAAAAAATTAGCTGGGCGTGGTGGCGGGCGCCTGTAGTCCCAGCTACTCGGGAGGCTGAGGCAGGAGAATGGCGTGAACCTGGGAGGCGGAGCTTGCAGTGAGCCCAGAGACTCCGTCTCAAAAAAAAAAAAAAAAGTGTATTGATTGGTAGTAGAACATCACATGGCATTTAATAACACTAATTTTCTTATCTTTTTATTATTTTTCAATCCTTCTGCTTGATTCAAGGACAAAGTCTCACTATCCTGCTAGTCTGCCTTTAATGCCTAATACTGTTCTTTTTTTTTTTAATGAGAACTCTATATAGTTTATGTTAAATACTTTCTAAAGTATTTAGAAAAGGCTGGGCATGGTGGCTCATGCCTGTAATCCCAACACTTTGGGAGGCTGAGGCAGGTGGATCACCTGAGGTCAGGAGTTCGAGACCAGCCTGACCAAGATGGTGAAACCCTGTCTCTACTAAAAACACAAAAATTAGCTAGGCATGTGCCTGTAATCCCAGCTACTCAGGAAGCTGAGGCATGAGAATTGCTTGAACCCGGGAGGCGGAGGTTGCAGTGAGCCAAGATCATGCCACTGCACTCCAGTCTGGGTAACACAGTAAAACTCTGTCTCAATAAATAAATAAATAAATAAATAAATAGGTTATCATCTTCAATTTCCATATTTCTGAGGAACTGGTGAAAACCCTCAATTATAATAGCATGGTTAATAAAACTATAGATCCTTTTCTGTGTGTCTCATACTGGGTTTATTCAATCCAAATTATGCTGGGAAATCCTCTTGTAGCTTCAGGCTCTGAATTGCTAAATTCTTACTTTTTAAATTACTCACTTGCTCAAAGCTTAATACATATACATTGAGACTATTTTTATTTTCCTCTTTATTCTTCCCTCAAGTTAACAACCTAGTATTTATCCTTTCATAACTTTCTCAGTGCTCATTAAATCATACACAAACATATTATATGTAAACATACATGAAATGACTTTGTTTTACAAATCAGAATCATGCTATATATACTTATTTGCATCTTTCTCACTTAATAGTACATTGCAAAATTTCTCTAAATTGGTGGTCTAGGCCTAACTCATTCTTTTTAGTATCTGCATAACTTTCATAGTATAGTTATTCCATAAGTCTTCTACCACTCCTCTTTAATATAATAGCTTTTTTTTTTTTTTTTTTTTGAGACAGAGTCTCACTCTGTCACTCAGGCTGGAGTGCAGTGGTGCACATGGCTCACTGCAGCCTCAACCTCCTAGGCTTAGGTGATCCTCCCACCTCAGCCTCCCAAGTAACTGGGACTATAGGCTCATGCCACCACCACACCCAGCTAGGTTTTTGTATTTTTTGTAGAGATGGGGTTTTGCCACGTTGCCTAGGCTGTTTTTTTTTTTTTTCTTTTTTGAGGAAAAATTCAGTGCTGCAGTTAACCTTGTACATATATATTCTTTTTTTTTTGTTTTGAGACAGAGTTTCGCTCTGTCGCCCAGGCTGGAGTGCAGTGGCGCGATCTCGGCTCACTGCAACCTCAGCCTCCCAGGTTCACGCCATTCTCCTGCCTCAGCCTCCCGAGTAGCTGGGACTACAGGCACCCGCCACCATGCCCGGCTAATTTTTTTGTATTTTTTGTAGAGACAGGGTTTCACCATGTTAGCCAGGATGGTCTCAATCTCCTGACCTTGTGATCCGCCCACCTTGGCCTCCCAAAGTGCTGGGATTACAGGCATGAGCCACCACATCTTGCCCTATATTCTTATATTTTTACAAATATTTTTATTTCTCTGGGATAAATAATCCAAAAGAAAATACCATTGTTTGTTCAAATGATATTTTCTTTTTATTTTAAACCATTGCCAGCTTGCTTTTCAGAGTCTTTGTTTCCACAAATACTGTATCACCCTTTAATACTTGATAATCTTATTGTTACTCTAATATTGTGGTATACCTTCCACACTTTTGGAAACACAGCCCTAATGTATATTTCAACAAAGAGTAAGGGTCTCCTGCTAAAAGCCCTGCTTTATTCCCTTCTCAGCTCCAGGCTACTGTCAAAAATAAGTAAATAAAATACATAAACTATTTGAATAAAAGAACATATCTTTCTATTAAAAATAAATGTTCTTGTAAAAACCCTAAGGAGGAATCGCCCTTTGCTTTACATTAACAGTATCTTCTCCTCTTTATTCTCTAACCTAAAATAAGACAGGAAAAAAGCACATTTTCATAATTTTGTATGGGATACGATCTTCATTGTTACATTGGTGATAATGAAAAAAGAACAAAATTAAAATAATATTTGAGGTCTACATTTCAGTAAATTTTTGATCTGGCAAATATAGTTGCAGTCTTAACATATATTGCCTTTACTATACAACACACCAGCAAACAAAAGAAGCCTATTAACTAAAAAGAGAGAGAGATTAAAAAATAATTCATTTAAATGTTTTTGATAAATCTACTTTGCCACAAGGGACAGACAAAATTAACTCTTCATTTAGAAATTTGTCAGACTTATGTTCCTGCTGTCCCACCTCACCTTCTTCTTCACTGCTTCTATTGTCTCCTTTTGCTACTGTACACTGCTGATGTAGCTAAATTGAATCAATGACAGTGTGTGGGTGAGAGAGGTTAAAAGAAAAAAGGGATAAATCAAGAAATGACAGTTGTAAGGGTGGTAATGGTAAAATCTTAGCTTAAACCAGTTGTAAAATTACAGCACAGCCTAACACATAAGAATTCATTTGTTGTACTCCAATTTCATGAACTTGGCAGAGTGGAGGTGGGCAGAAAAAGGCAGAATCTTAGTGCATACTGTTGTTGTTGATGTTTTTTAACTAATAGAAACACAGCTCATCAAAACTTGAGAAGCAATGAACACCACAGGAAAAATGAACCTATTTCCCTATATTCAAAATAATAATGCTTTACTCTTATAAAGCCCTTCTTATGAACTCCCACACCAATTCTCATACAATTTCACTAAACATAGATACATAAATAAGTCAGTTGCCACTTTCTTTTCTTTTTTCCTTTTTTTTTTTTTTTTTGGAGACAAAGTCTTGTTCTGTCACCCATGCTGGAGTGCAGTGGTATAATGATAACTCATTGTAACCTCGAACTTCTGGGCTCAAGTGATCCTCCCATCTCAGCTTCCAGAGCAGCTAGGACCACAGGCATGTACCACCGCACCCAGCTAAATCTATATACATATACTTGTAGCCATGGAATCTCGCTTTGTTGCCCAGGCTGGTCTTGAACTCCTGGCCTCAAGTGATCCTCCCACCTCAGCCTCGCAAAGCACTGGGATTACAGGTATGAGCTGCCGCACCCAGCTGATATACCAGTACTTTCAAATAAAAATATATATATATTTTTTTAATTATTATTTTTTTTGAGACAGTGAGTCTCGCTCTGTCGCCCAGGCTGAAGTGCAGTGGCACAATCTCGGCTCACTGCAACCCCCGCTTCCCGGGTTCAAGCGATTCTCCTGCCTCAGCTTCCCTAGTAGCTGAGATTACAGGCGTGCGCTACCACATCTGGCTAATTTTTTATATTTTTTATAGAGACAGGGTTTCACCATGTTGCCCAGGCTGGTCTCAAACTCCTGACCTCAAGTGATCCACCCGCCTCAGCCTCCCAAATTGCTGGGATTACAGGTGTGAGCCACCACACCCGGCCATTTTATTGTTTTACAAATGACTTTTGACCCATGGCTCAAAAGTTTAACAAAATATTCTTATTTGAAAGTAGGAATTTTTATTGACTATTTGTGAACTTAAACAGTTAATGCCACAGATCTACATTTTACAAAGAGTTTTCAACTGTACTCTAAAATTTAAAATTACATCTCTTTATAGTCTTTAAGTAGCTCAGATAATTCTAAACTCAAGTGACCCCAAAATCCTCCCCAAACTAAATCATACTAATAACAGAATAATCTACATTTTAACCTTTAATTATATCCTTCTTGTGAAACTCCTACTTTAAACTTTCATGGGACCATTCTCCCTATTTCCCCTCCTCCTCCTTCCTACTTCAATTGGAGATATCACTTATAAATCAGCCCCTGATCCTCTGCCTTGCTTTATATACAAGGAATTCATCTACCACCTGCACAAATTTGTATCTGTCCAAATCCAACTTTAACTTAGTGAGATACATTTGTTTAGCAACCAAACTAACCCCATCCCCCCAAAAAATATTATCCAAATAGATGCCTTATCAATTAACACCTATCCTAAAACTGACAGGTTCACTTCTACTTCTTCCCTTACTTCCATATTTAATACCAAATTCGATAGATTCTTCCCTTACATCGCTGGTATTGTCCTTGCTTTTCATTTCCCCAGCCATCAACCACTCTAGGTCATTAATTCTCAAAAGTATTACTTCAGTAGCCTCTCAGCTTATCACCTAAGCTACTTCCAATCTCTTCATACTTTATCCAACATACACAAAAAGCTGCCAGAATTCACCACTTCAATTTGCCTACTCAGAAACCCACAGTGGCTCCCTACTGTTTAAAATCCAAATTCCTTGGCTAACTATTCTAGACAGTTACAGTGTAAAGAAACTTTTTAAATTTCATCACCTAAGTAACCAGATTTTTTTTTAACTTCTTAACACTCTGCCATTATCCCGATATACCTCTGTCTTTCAAAAGTCACCCCATTTCAATATCCTACCAGTAGTATTATGTAAGGGTTAAGGGTATGGGCTCTGGAATTTGATTTGAATCTGGCTCTACCACATAGTCTGACATTAATTTAACCTCATCTATGTAACAAGGATATTAAACCTGCTTCATAAAGTTGTTATGAAAACTAACATTAATATCCTTAAAGCACTAGGCCAATCTCAAGCACACTCTAAATGATCAATAAATGTTAGCCATTGTCAATATTATTACACAGCCACTATGATGTAAGAAGCCAATCTGATTGCTCTACCACAGGCTATGCATTTGCCTTCACTATTCTTGATTCCCTCAACCACAAACCATGAGAGATGGCATGGGCCTGAGAGAGCAGCTAGTCCAATCACATGTCCATCAGCATTTAGGTCTTGGCTCTGTTGTCTCTCTTGATATTCGACTTGGTGTCTGCTACTGAACAGTATTGTATTGAATAAAAGTGCATGGTACACAGCAAATAATCCTTTGTAAATATTTGTTGGGTAAATATGTTAAGTGCTAAAGAAATACACGGTTAGCATGTATTTTTGTCTTCTATTATAGCTAAAATATTAATCAACTATATGCATCTATAAAACTGTTTCATAAAACTGTTTCTAAACAGTACTGCAAAGCTTCAAATAACTATAGTTTGAAGTATTCAAGCCAGGAATAAAAATCTTTTACTTGGTAACTATCCTCAAATTGATCCAACTAGCAATACTGTATCGTGTGTGTCTGTGTGTGTGTGTGTGTGTGTGTAACAAGGTCTTGCTCTGTTGCCAGGCTGGAGTGCAGTGGTATGATCTTGGCTTACTGCAACCTCTGCCTCCTAGGATCAAGCAATCCTCCTACCTCAGCCACCTGAGTAGCTGGGACCACAGATGGATGCCACCAGGTGTGGCTAATTTTTAAAATTTTTTGCAGAGACGAGGTCTCACTATATTGCTCAGGTTGGTCTTGAACTCCTGGGCTCAAGTGATCCTCTAGCCTCAGCCTCCCAAAGTGCTGAGATTACAGGTGTGAGCTACTGCACTCAGCCTATATTGTTATCTTTCTTGCTGCGTTAGGCCTTTCTGAAGGTGAGTATTTACATTCTATCACTCTCTTATCTATCAATAATGCTTGTGTCAATGTTTCATACTTAGTGCTAAATAAGCAGTTATGAATTCCACAAATTTTCAACATAAAAATAAAGGCATCATCAAAATAATGTGTAAAAAGATAATGACGATATGCAAAACAGTAAATGAAAAGCTAAGATTTAAAAGTTGTCAAAGAATCGGCCAGGCATGGTGGCTCACGCCTGTAATCCCAGCACTTTGGGAGGCTGAGGCGCACAGATCACGAGGTCAGGAGATCAAGACCATCCTGGCTAACATGGTGAAACCCTGTCTCTACTAAAAATACAAAAAATTAGCCGGGTGTGGTGGCACATGCCTGTAATCCCAGCTACTCGGAGGCAAGAGAATTGCTTGAACCCCGGAGGCAGAAGTTGCAGTGAGCCAAGATCACGCCAGTGCATTCCAGCCTGGGCGACAGAGCGAGACTCCATCTCAAAAAAAAAAAAAAGTTGTCAAAGAGCTAGGGACAGTCCTCGCCATTCTCCTCATACCTCCAACCCACCTCTACCCCCACTCAAAAACAAAAAACAAATCCATACAGAATCACAGTATATTTTTTTCCCATAGAATTTTTAAAGCTAGAAAGACCTCAATTCCCATTCCTTTATGTCCCACTGAGTCCCACATGAGAAGCTGAAACTCAGGAAGGCCAGATGATTAGCCTAAGGGTACAAGAACCAGATAAATGCAGGGCTGGGAATTAACTCCGTATTCCTAGGCAGTACTCAGATACCTAGGCAGTATTCTTTTCACTACATCATGCAGCATTTCAACTCATTTCTTCCGCATCTACTTAGTCTAGAACATAAAATTAACTATATCACATGAACTCTTCACAAAACAATTGACTATAATCACATGGTATGGTGAATACCGATATATTTTTGGCTATTTTCAAGAATGCCTGCAAGGAATAAAGGTTTCAAGTCATAAATGGACCATTTCTGTTATTATAATTACTTCTGTTCTGGAAAAAAATACTTCCCTTATCAGATATTATGACCTTTAAGATTCCCATTTTCACAAATTATTTTTCATAAACTACACATATGTATGCTCAACTACGCAGCGTCTTACCCAACAATAGCTTAAGCAAACCACATATCTCAAATAAAAATGTCATCTATTCCAGGCTCATCAGCATATGTTAGAATCTGTTCCTAAAATAGACTCATAGACTTTTGGAATGGGAAGGAACCTTGGAGATCACCTCTCATTTCACAGAGGAAAATAATACACAGCAGGGACCTGCCCAAGGTCAAAGTGTCTTCATAAGAACCCAGGTCCAGAATAGAAAGTTCTCAAAAGATTTCAGAGAGAAATGCAATATTTGGTGAAACACCTTAGCTTGCCTCCCTTTACATCTACTTTTTTTTTTTTTTTGAGACAGTGTCTCTCTGTCCCCAGGCTGGAGTGCAGTGGCACGATCTCGACTCACTGCAAGCTCCGCTTCCCGGGTTAACGCCATTCTCCTGCCTCAGCCTCCCGAGTAGCTGGGACTACAGGCGCCCACCACCACGCCCGGCTAATTTTTTGTATTTTTAGTAGAGACGGGGTTTCACCGTGTTAGCCAGGATGGTCTCGATCTCCTGACCTCATGGTCCACCCGCCTCGGCCTCCCAAAATACTGGAATTACAGGCGTGAGCCACCGCGCCCGGCCTACATCTACTTCTTAAGTACAATTTCCTGCATAGGAAACTTTTGAAATTTAAGAAAAGAAAGCAAAACAAAAAACTAAGCCAACCTTTTTTTTTTCTTTTTTCTTTTCTTTTTAAGTCTACAGCCAAGTCACTGATTCTAAAAGCTTAGAAGTTAAGGTAGACCATTGCAAGAATCTTAAGAGGTAACATTTTGGGGTAAAATCCCCAAAGGCTTAAGGATACAATGTAAGTAAGACACACAAATTAAGAATAGCTATAATATTCTTATCTCTGTAACAAATTACATGGAGGATAGCTCATAAGTAGGAAAACTTTGTAAACATGCAACTTTCAAGGAAGAGAATTTTAGTCATCATACCTATTAACTATACAAGAATGCCAATACATTTTGAAATTTTATCTTGGTCTCTGTGCTTAAGCTGGAAATTTTTTTTCAAAATATATATCTTAAGTCATGTAAAAAAAAAAGCAGTAACTTGAGGAAAACCTTTTATCGACCCTTAATTAAAAGAAGGCCTTAAATCAAACCTTATTAAGAGAAGTATAAGCTATATTGTCCGGTCATGTTTGAAAGAATACATGAAAACTGAACATTCCTCAAAGTTAAGGCATGAATAGGACTAAGGACATGTACGTTTTTTGTTTTTGCAATGAAAGGCACACTATGCAAGCCAATTTACCTGTAGAAATATGTTTCTTAACTCATGAGGATCCCCTCGCTTAGTTGTCTGCACCTGTAAGCAAAAAAGAAAAAAAAGCCAGTTAATGCTTCACTAGAGACCACACAATCTCTTCAGATTAGAGGTCACATGGCTAACAATCAATGCTCCTATCTTTTATCATTTAGTTTAAAACAAACTAAAAGCCCTAATTGCTGATAAGAACTGTCAAACTGGATAACTGTGACTAGAGGGCAGAAAAACAGGTGCGAATAGCCTAAGATACAGCAAAGCTATCGGACAGTGCTTCCTCTGGACTGGAAAGGGAAGGCAATGAGGATCTTTTACTTTATTCCACATCTACTAGCAACACAGTAGTAACCACCCACCTTCAAATCAAGAAGCTAACAAGAGTAGATCAACAGGAAAGTTAAATCACCCAAATTAATCACTTGGCCTAGCAGCCTTTCTCCATAAAAAGCAAACCCAACATGTAATTATCTCCGCGTCCCTCTCCCCATCCAACCTAAAATATGAGAGCTGCCACAAATACAAATACTTTCGATACCCTGCAATCTGCAACGCAAAAGCCAACCACTGCCCTCGGCCTTATTGAGGCCCCAAATTACTCAATACTTACTCCCTCCCCCACCGCAATTCACTGATACCCTAGGTATCCCCAGCTTTACTTGCCACTTCCTCCCACACCCTTTCTGATGCCCTCCAACTCCGGACTCACAATCCCATGCACCTAGGACAGGACATTACTCTTCCTTCACTGACCCGTGTTACCGTACAAGCCCCTTCAACTCACAATCCCTCCTCCTTCCCCTCCCCCAGCCGGGCATCCCCTCCTCCGGTCCAAGCCCCGCACAGCTCTCCCCGCAGCAAGCCGGAGCCCCAGGACAAGCTATCTAAGACCTAGACAATGAATAAAATGGGAAGCAGTGGGGGGCTGCAGGCAGGGCGCTCGGAATGTCTCTTATGCAATAAAAGCAGCAGCAGAGAGTTGGAGTCACCTTGACCGCCATGCTGTGCTCGGAAGCCGGGGACGAGCGAGTGAGCGAGCAGGGCCGAGCTGTCAGGGCGCGCGCGCGCCGTCTTCCCGGCCGCGCCCGCCCTCCCTCTCGCCGGCGCCGCGCGCGTCCCTATGCAAATGAACTCGGGGCGCGCCGCGTGCGGAAAGGGGCCCGGCGTCCCGGCCAGAAAGGCAGCTGGTCCAGGGCCGGCCGGCCGGCCGGGCGGAGGAGGGGGACGCGCCTCCCACGGGGAAAACAAGCGCGACCCATGGGATCCCGACGCGCCGCGTGGTTGCCACAGCTAGGTCGCCGCCAGGAAAGCCCCAGGTTTCCTAAGGCCTCTTAGTGGGTGTGGCTTTGGGCACCGACCAGCCAAAGTCGTTTTCCCCGAGGCTTAAAGGAACATTTGGGGCCTATACTGAGCAAGGTTCCGACGGATCAAAGAGCACTTCCCATTAATAACAATGAATTAATGACAACTGATGGCAAATACCGACAAAACAAGATTGGGAACCACTCACTCTAGGGAAAACCTACGTAAACATAATTTGAGAAATATGCTCCTAAATTGGCATGGGACGAATACGCTGAATTTATTTTTGCTTTGCGTGCTATTACAACGGTTTATTAGTAGACTCGCTCCACTTTCCTAATCACCCAAATCCTGTGTGCAATGAGAAAAAAAACTCTATGTGTCTTTGACAGGGCTGGCAATGAATCGCTTGCCCATACATGAACAGAAAGTAATTCTCCATTCGATTTCTAGCCCTACCTAAGAAGTAGAAGAAGCAGTAACTCTATCTTGAACCAAAACAATGTTTCTAAACCCGTCTTGCCAATATCACTGTATTAGGCTACATATTGATTCAAACATGTATGGGCATCCATTATATGCCTGACATGGTCCTGCTTGTAAAAAACGCAAATAACCTATAGCCCCCACCCTCTAGGGGCTTACAGATGGTCAATGCTTCTCCACAACCCCAATCACATGTGTATTGTGTGTATGTGTGTCTGTGTGTGTGTGTGTTGAGACTGAGTCTCGCTCTGTCGCCCAGGCTGGAGTGCAGTGGCACCATCTTGACTCACTGCAACGTCCACCTCCCAGGTTCAAGAGATTCTCTTGCCTTGGCCTCCCGAGTAGCTGGGATTACAGGCACCCGCCGCAATGCCCAGTTAATTTTTTGTATTTTTAGTAGAGACAGGGTTTCACTATGTTGGCCAGGTTTGTCTCAAACTTCTGACCTCTGGTGATCCGCCCACCTCGGCTTCCCAAAGTGCTGGGATTACAGGCGTGAGCCACCGCGCCCGACCCTGTGTATGTTTTCATTTTTAATTTTTTGAGACGGAGTCTCGCTCTATCGCCCAGGCTGGAGTGCAGTGGCGCCATCTTGGCTCACTGCAACCTCTGCCTCCTGGGTTCAAGCAATTCTCCTGCCTCAGCCTCCCAAGTAGCTGGGATTACAGGTGCACGCCACCATGCCTGGCTAATTTTGTATTTTTAGTAGCTATGGGGTTTCGCCCAAGCCACTTATAATTAGACACTAGATAAATGACACACTTTAGGGCTTCTCTATACTGTACAACTATTCTCCCTATATGAACATTTGCTGTCATTGAAATAAATTCTCGTTTTGGTGGAAATGGAAGAGAGGGGTATCAAAAATCAGAAGAAATAGTTGTACTCCTGCAGTTATGTCTTTTCCTGAACTGTCTTCCTCACAGCCTGACTCTAAATCCTATAAATTATGCAGTGGAGATGATGGTGATCTTATTTTTGGACCACAGCCTTCTTTATTCCCTTGGTGAAGCAATAACAAACAGTTTTCTTTTCAGTGAATTTTGGAAGGAATTCATGGAATGAGCTGCTCTAGACATATATGGCTGTGAGTACTCTATCACTATACTAATTATGTATAACCTGGTATTTAGTAGGACACTATATAATCAGATGGAGGATTGAACTAGATGAGCTTTAATGCTTCTTCAAACACTCTAATTTCATGATTTAAAAGGAGCCAAATTTTAGTTAATAAACATTTATTGAGTGCCTTGCGTTTGTGTAAAACATGTGTTGCAGCCGGGTGCAGTGGCTCACACCTGTAATCCCAGCACTTTGGGAGGCCAAGGCGGGTGGATCACAAGGTCAGGAGTTCAAGACCAGCCTGTCCAATATGGTGAAACCCCCTCTCTACAAAAATACAAAAATTAGCTGGGTGTGGTGGCGTGCACCTGTAGTCCCAGCTACTCAGGAGGCTGAGACAGAAGAATCTCTTGAGGCCAGGCACGGTGGCTCACACTTGTAATCCTAGTGCTTTGGGAGGCCAAGGCGGGTGGATTGCCTGAGCTCAGGAGTTCAAGACCAGCCTGGGCAACACAGTGAACCCTGTCTCTACTAAAATACAAAAAAGTTAGCCAGGTGTGGTGGTGTGCACCTGTAGTCCCAGCCACTCGGGAGGCTGAGACAGGAGAATTGCTAGAACCCGGGAGGTGGAGGTTGAAGTGAGCTGAGATTGTGCCACTGCACTCCAGCCTGGGCAACAGAGCGAGACTCTGTCTCTGGGAAAAAAAAAAAAAAAAAAGCCCAGGCACAGTGGCTTATGCCTGTAATTCCAGCACTTTGGGAGGCAGAGGTGGGTGGATCACCTGAGGTCGGGAGTTCAAGACCAGCCTGACTAACAAGGAAGAAACTCCATCTCTACTAAAAAAAAAAAAAAAAAAAATTACAGGCTCATGCCTGTAATCCCAGCTACTCGGGAGGCTGAGGCAGGAGAATTGCTTGAACCTGGGAGGTGGTGGTTGTGGTGAGCCGAGATCATGCCATTGCACTCCAGCCTGAGCAATAAGGGCAAAACTCCGTCTCAAAAAAAAAAGAAGAAGAATCCCTTGAACCCAAAAGGCAGAGGTTGCAGTGAGCCAAGACCACACCACTGCACTCCAGCCTGAGCGACAGAGCAAGACTCTGTCTCAAAAAAAAAACAAAAAAAAACAAAAAAAAACAAAAAAACTTGCGTTGCAGCTACAGGAAACATAAGAGAAATAGCATCGTTCCCAAAGTATAGAGAATATTTTACCGAGGCAAGTGCTACCATTCTTTTTTTTTTCTTTTTTTTTTTTTTGAGACGTAGTTTCACTCTTGTTGCCTAGGCTGGAGTGCAACGGCATGATCTTGGTTCACCGCAACCTCCACCTCCTGGGTTCAAGCAATTCTCCTGCCTCAGCCTCCCAAGTAGCTGGGATTACAGGCATATGCTGCCACAATGCCCGGCTAATTTTGTATTTTTAGTAGAGATGGGGTTTCTCCATGTTGGTCAGGCTGGTCTCAAACTCCTGACCTCAGGTGATCTGCCTGCCTTGGCCTCCCAAAGTGCTGGGATTACAGGCATGAGCCACAGCGCCCAGCTTACTATTCATTTTTTAATGAATAATGTGAAAAGAATGATATTGAAACCTGTTGTCCTGTGCCAGTGCCCAAGGCAGCTTTAGGTAATGATGGGGTAAAGACTGTGTGGCTTGCCACATATTCTCACTCCAGTCAGAAATATATAACTGGGAGAATAAACATCCTGCCAGGTCCCTCAGCTACCCACCCCTACCCTACCCCTGTCGATTTATTTGGATGCTTTTTGTTTCTCTTCTACTTAGAGGTCAATGAGGAAGAATACTTTGGACCTGATCCAAAGTAAAGAAGAAAGTGTCACTTTAAAAATTGTGTGGGAGAAAAGCAAAGGTCCCAAAATAGCCAAAGCAAATTTGAGAAGGAACAAAGTTGGAGGACTTAGACTACCTGGCTCCAAGACTTACTATAAAGCTTAAGAAATTGCTACAGCATAGTGCTGCTGGCCGGCATATGAATTGATAAACAGATCAATGGAACAGAATAGAGAGCCCAGAAATAGATCCAAAATTATAAAGTCATTGGCTCTTTCCCTCTTTCTTTCTTTCTTTCTTTCTTTTTTCTTTCTTTCTTCCTTTTTTCTTTCTTTCTTTCTGTTTTTTTCTTTCTTCTTCTTTCTCTCTCTTTCTTTGTTTTTTTCTTTTCTTTCTTTTCCCTTTTTTTTTTCTTCAAGACAGGATTTCACTCTGTCACCCAGGCTGGAGTGCAGTGGCATGATCATGGCTCACTGCAGCCCCGACCTCCTGGGTTCAAGCAGTCCTCAGACTGAAGCCTCCTGAGTAGCTAGGATTATAGGCATGCACCACCATACCCAGCTAAATTTTTAATTTTTGTAGAGAAAGGGTCTCTCTATGTTACCAGGCTGTTCTTGAACTCCTGGGTTCAAGCAGTCCTCCTGCCTTGGCCTCCCAAAGTGCTGGGATTACAGGTGTGAGTTATCTTGCCTGGCCAAAGTCATTTGATTTCTAACAAAGTTGCCAAAGCAATTCAGTGGGGGCAAGGAAACTTTTCAACAATTGATGCTAGAATAACTAGATATCAGTGTGGGAAAATTAATGAACCTAAATCCCTACCTCACACCATATACTAAATTTGATTTGAGATGAATCATAGACCTAAATGCAAAAGCTGAAGTTATAAAGCTGCCCCCAACAGCTTTATAAACAAAGGTTTTAGTAGAAAACATAAAAGAGTATCTTTGTGGCTAGGTGCCATGACATGTGCTTGGAGTCCTAGCTACTCAAGAGGCTGAGGCAGGAGGATCACTTGAGGCCAGGAGTTCAAGGCTGTAGTGATGATCATGGCTGTGAACAGCCACTGCACCCCAGCCTTGGCAACACAGTAAGACCCTGTGTCTCTAATATATATATATATATATATATAACATATATATATATATAAAACATATATATATAACATATATATAAAACATATATATATACACATATATGTATATATATAGAATAGATAGATCTATCTTTGTAACTTGGAGGTAGGTAAAGTTTTCTTAATCAAAACCTAAAAAGCAATAACAATACATTAAGAAATTGATAAATTCCTCTGCCTCTGCCTCTGCCTCTGCCTCTGCCTCTGCCTCTCCCTCTGCCTCTCCCTCTTCCTCTCCCCACAGTCTCCCTCTCCCTCTCTTTCCACGGTCTCCCTCTGATGCCGAGCCAAAGCTGGACTGTACTGCTGCCATCTCGGCTCACTGCAACCTCCCTGCCTGATTCTCCTGCCTCAGCCTGCCGAGTGCCTGCGATTGCAGGTGCGCGCCGCCACGCCTGACTGGTTTTCGTATTTTTTTGGTGGAGACGGGGTTTCGCTGTGTTGGCCGGGCTGGTCTCCAGTTCCTAGCCGCGAGTGATCCGCCGGCCTCGGCCTCCCCAGGTGCCGGGATTGCAGACGGAGTCTCGTTCACTCAGTGCTCAATGGTGCCCAGGCTGGAGTGCAGTGGCGTGATCTTGGCTGGCTACAACCTCCACCTCCCAGCCGCCTGCCTTGGCCTCCCAGAGTGCCGAGATTGCAGCCTCTGCCCGGCCGCCACCCCGTCTGGGAGGTGGAGAGCGTCTCTGCCTGGCCGCCCATCGTCTGGGATGTGGGGAGCCCCTCTGCCTAGCTGCCCAGTCTGGAGGGTGAGGGGCGTCTCTGCCCGGCCGCCATCCCGTCCGGGAGGTGGGGAACGCCTCTTCCCGGCCGCCGTCCCATCTGGGAGGTGGAGAGCGTCTCTGCCCGGCTGCCCGTCGTCTGAGATGTGGGGAGCGCCTCTGCCCCGCCACCCCGTCTGGGATGTGAGGAGCGCCTCTGCCCGGCCGCGACCCCGTCTGGGAGGTGAGGAGCGTCTCTGCCCGGCTGCCCCGTCTGAGAAGTGAGGAGACCCTCTGCCTGGCAACCGCCCTGTCTGAGAAGTGAGGAGCCCCTCCACCCGGTAGCCGCCCCGTCTGGGAAGTGAGGAGCGTCTCCGCCCGGCCGCCACCCCGTCCGGGAGGGAGGTGGGGGGTCAGCCCCCTGCCCGGCCAGCCGCCCCGTCCGGGAGGGAGGTGGGGGGGGTCAGCGCCCCGCCCGGCCAGCCGACCCGTCCGGGAGGGAGGTGGGGGGTCAGCCCCCCGCCCGGCCAGCCGCCCCGTCCGGGAGGTGAGGGGCGCCTCTTCCCGGCCGCCCCTACTGGGAAGTGAGGAGCCCCTCTGCCCGGCCAGCCGCCCCGTCCGGGAGGGAGGTGGGGGGGGTCAGCCCCCTGCCCGGCCAGCCGCCCCGTCCGGGAGGTGAGGGGCGCCTCTGCCCGGCCGCCCCTACTGGGAAGTGAGGAGCCCCTCTGCCCGGCCACCACCCCGTCTGGGAGGTGTACCCAACAGCTCATTGAGAACGGGCCATGATGACAATGGCGGTTTTGTGGAATAGAAAGGGGGGAAAGGTGGGGAAAAGATTGAGAAATTGGATGGTTGCCGTGTCTGTGTAGAAAGAGGTAGACATGGGAGACTTTTCATTTTGTTCTGTACTAAGAAAAATTCTTCTGCCTTGGGATCCTGTTGATCTGTGACCTTACCCCCAACCCTGTGCTCTCTGAAACATGTGCTGTGTCCACTCAGGGTTAAATGGATTAAGGGCGGTGCAAGATGTGCTTTGTTAAACAGATGCTTGAAGGCAGCAGGCTCGTTAAGAGTCATCACCACTCCCTCATCTCAAGTACCCAGGGACACAAACACTGCGGAAGGCCGCAGGGTCCTCTGCCCAGGAAAACCAGAGACCTTTGTTCACTTGTTTATCTGCTGACCTTCCCTCCACTATTGTCCTATGACCCTGCCAAATCCCCCTCTGCGAGAAACACCCAAGAATGATCAATAAAAAAAAAAAAGAAAAAGAAATTGATAAATTAGATTTCACTAAAGATAAAAATGTCTTTTCCTCAAAATATAGCATTAAGAAAATGAATAGGCAAGGTATTAACTGGGAGAGAATATTAGCAAAACATATACACAACAAAGGACTAATATCCAGGATATATCCTAAATCTCAATGACATCAATGATAAACAACCTAGTCCTAAAAATTGGCAAAAGACTGGAACAGAACTTCACAAAATAAGGTATACAAATGGTCAATAACACATGAAAAAGTGTACAACATCATTAGTCATCAGGGAAATGCAAATTAAATCACAGTGAGAAGGTACCACTACACATCTACTAGAATAGCTAAAATTAAGGACTGAAAACACCAGATGCTGGCAAGGATATGGAGCAACCAGAGTTCTTATTCACTACAGTAGGCGTGTAAACTGGTATAATTACTTTGAGAAAAAGTCTAGCAGGTTCTTGTAAAACTAAACATACACCTACCTATGACCAAGCAATTCTATCTCCCAATATTTAACCAAGAGAAATGAAAATATATGTCTATTAAAAGAGCTGTACAAGAATGTTCACAGCCACTTTATTCATAATAGCCCAAAACTGGAAATAAGCCCAAAACTGGAAATAACCCAGGTGTCCATCAATAGAAGAATAGATAAACTATGGTATATTTGGAGAATGGAATACTATTGAGAAATAAAATAGAGTAAACTAATGATACACACAACGTGGACAAGTGTCAAAAGCATGATGCTAAGTGAAAGAAGCCTTGCATAAATCATATAGTACAAAAGAGCATATATCATATGATTCCGTTTATACAAAGTTCTAGAACCAGCAAAATAAATCACTGGTGAAAAAAAATTTGAGCCATGATTGCCAGAGAGGACTTGACCAGAAAGAGGAGTAAGGGAACTATGTGAAGTGATAATAGTAGTATATGCCTTGCCTAGGGGCTTAGATAACAGGTGTATGCATTTTTCAGAACTTAGTGAATGTAAACATAAGTTTTGTACACTTAATTACAAATGTGTGTAAATTTCCTTCAAAAGGAAGAACAACCTGAGCAAATATTGAACTCTAGCCAATGATATATTTAGGGGAGAGAATACTAGTATTTTAAATTTACTTTGAAATGCATTAAAGAAATAAGAAAGATTTACAGATGGATAGAGAAATGGATGAATAGGTATGTAATTTCTAACTGTGGGAGTGTATACAGGAGTTCACTGAAAAAAATTATTGTTGCAACTTTTCTAAATATTCTAAAATTTTCATAATAAAAGGTCAGGGAAAATTTGTGTTGGTCTTTGTGTTTCTAAAAATGGCTATCCATGTATGTAATTCTGTTGTTTGGTCAGAAATTGTACTGGGACTTATTTCCTAACCACTAATAGGCCTCTGCATTGTTGGAGAGGAGGAGAAAGAACTGAAACTGCTTGACAAATAATATACCTCTTTTATGGGGAGGGGAATCTGTGAAAATTATATTGCATTGAGAAGGCTGGGTGTGGTGGCTCATGCCTGTAATCCCAGCACTTTGGGAGGCCAAGGTGGGCAGATCACTTGAATCCAGGAGTTCGAGACCAGCCTGGCCAACATGGTGAAACCCCATCTCTACTAAAAATACAAAAATTAGCCAGGCATGGTGGTGCCCACCTATAATCCCAGCTACTCGGGAGGCTGAGAAAGGAGAACTGCTTGAACCCAGAAGGCAAAGGTTGCAGTGAGCCGAGATTGCACTACTGCACTCCAGCCTGCGTGACAGAATGAGACTCTGTCTCAAAATATATATATATATATAGTTTATATATATAGTTTATATATATATAGTTTATATATATATAATTTATATATATATAGTTTATATATATATAATTTATATATATATAGTTTATATATATATAATTTATATATAGTTTATATATGTAGTTTATTTATATATATAGTTTATATATACAGTTTATATATATACATATAGTTTATATATATATTACATCAAGAAAGAAAATGTTTTCCTCAACATCAATTCAGACACTAATTATATGTCCTTGGGGTCATGCATGTTTGGGTATATGTGTGTGTTCGGTCTAATAGTTACCCACAGGAAAACTAGAAAAAGAATGTGAAAGTATATTTGCATAACATACTGACAGTTACCTTGGAAAGAACCAGACTTGGAATCTAAAGCCTAACTTGGAACTCCTCTGCTGAAGTGCACCCAGGATGTAATTCTAGACTGAGAAACTCAGACGTAGGTGAGGAAGATCCTGCAATTGGTCATTGTGTCCTTGGATTGCCCTGTTGGGGGAAGGAGAATTAATCATAGGATAACACCAACTCTTTTGAGTAGGAGGTTTCCAAAAAGGGGAGGACAGGTTTGTACTCACTTAGGAAGAGAAGTCTACAGACAACCAGACAAGTAAGCTAGGAATTGGGATATGCCCAGGAAGAAACTTCTCCTGAATAATTACATTAGAGAAGTAATGTAATATTGATCAGTATCAAATTGTACGAATCAGAAGGATAATTGGAAAGTTTAAGTTAGAAAGTTTTGGAGAAACAGTATGAAATAGCTAGACCTTAAGGAGAGACAGATCTTGTGAAAAGAGACAAGTTGAGGAGAGAAAGTGGGTAGAATTGTGGAATTCTTGACTCTAGTCAAGCCAGTATAGACAATAAATCATGGAGTAACTGATCTACGAAGTCTTGCCTGTACTATGCCTCGCTATCACTGCTTGAAAAGAAGAAGAAACAGTTGCTGTTGCTCACTCTCCTGACTCTGCTCTTCTGTCACCCTGAGTGGATGGACTTGCCTGGATGGTTTGGGGTGAGGATAGGAAATAAAATAGGGAGTCAACAGTTATAATTCCTCTAATCATCCCCAACCCTTCCATAAAACACTATCTGCGAACAAGTGTTGTGTTGATGGCATGGAAGAAAAATCACAGTAATAGGAAGTATAACCTTCCTCGGTGAAGTGCTAACCCCCTCACTGAGATCCATGTGGCAATAGCAGCAACATCATCTCATCAAAGACAGTAGGCTCAGGGTTCTACATGGATAACAGCAGCTAAGTGAGTGTAAGCCAAGACTTAACAGAATGGTAATGAGGAGCATGGATCACAGAGAAGCAACTGCCCAGTAGATGAGACAAATCCTTCTTTACTTAAACATGCTAGAGAACATTGCAGGGAGAGTGGGATGCTTCATCATATGGAATTCTATATGGCTATGAAGTTCTACTCTATCTCCAAGATACTATATGTGCCTTCTTATTATTGATATCTGTAAGCAGGAAATATGAAGGGAACATAATCATCTAAAACGATTAAGTAACAATGCACATATGAGGATTCTTAATTGTGTGGTAAATTTATGCAAGAGAGGTTTAGACAAAAAATCAGTTTAAGCTGGACGGTAAACAAAAGGTTTCATGGAAACAATAACTCACCTCTGCTTTAATTCAGCATTTTTCTGCATTCCTTCCAGAATAGGTCTTATTATTGTATCCTTCTTTCTTTATCCATACCCTCAGTCCTAACACTTATCTCAGTGCCTGCTGTTAGTCATGTGGGTATTAATTAAATGGTTTATTGATCATTCCTAGCCAGTTTCTCTACCGATAGCCAATTAGTCCCCTTATCTTTCCTAAGTGAAGGCCATTACTATTGCCCTTGTTGCTTGAGTCAGAAAGCTAGGTATCAGACTCTCCCTTGTTCCTCACATTCAAATAGCCACCCAGTCCTGCATTTTCCATTCCCTTCAGTGCTTTTTAAATCTCTTCTCTTGGCCGGGCATGGTGGCTCACACATGTAATCCCAGCACTTTGGGAGGCCAAGGCGGGTGGATTGCCTGAGCTCAGGATTCGAAACCAGCCTGGGCAACATGGTGAAAGCCCGTCTCTACTAAAAATACAAAAAATTAGCTGGGTATGGTGGCAGGCGCCTGTAATCCCAGCTACTTGGGAGGCTGAGGCAGGAGAATCACTTGAACCCGGGAGGCGGAGGTTTCAGTGAGCCGAGATCATGCCACTGTACTCCAACCTGGGTGACAGAGCAAGACTCTGTCTCAAAAAAATAAACAAACCAAAAAAGCTCTTCTTTTGATTATAATAGCCTTTATTGTGCCTTCTAATTCCTCTCTCAGTTTCCACTTCTCTACTTTCTGCCTCCTGTCACTACCCTCAAATCCATTCTCCACAGTGCTACCAAGTGTTTGATCTAAAACAGAAATTGAATTTTGTTACTTGCCCATCCTTCACTGGCTCTCTACTGACTTCAATATAAAATCCAAACTTGACCGGGCACAGTGGCTCACTCCCGTAATCCCAGCACTTTGGGAGGCCGAGGCAGGTGGATCATGAGGTCAGGAGATTGAGACCATCCTGGCCAACACGGTGAAACCCCGTCTCTTAAAAAATATACAAAAATTAGCCTGGGCGAAAGAGCAAGACTCCGTCTCAAAAAAAAGAAGAAGCTCCTCCTCCAGAAAACAATCCCTAGCCCCGTTTTCCCATTTAGGGTAGCCTCCCTTTGAGCACTAACTCTATCCTATGCATAGTATTTATCACACTTTTGTTGTTGTTGTTGTTGTTGTTGTTTGAGATGGAGTTTCGCTTTTGTCACCTAGGCTGGAGTGCAATGGCACCATCTTGGCTCACCGCAACCTCTGCCTCCCAGGTTCAAGTGATTCTCCTGCCTCAGCCTCCCAAGTAGCTGAGATTACAGGCATGCGCCACCACACCCAGGTAATTTTGTATTTTTAGCAGAGAGAGGGTTTCTCCATGTTGGTCAGGCTGGTCTCACACTCCTGACCTCAGGTGATCCACCCGCCTCAGCCTCCCAAAGTGCTGGGATTACAGGCGTGAGCCACCGCACCTGGCCTAATTACACTGTTATAATTACCTCTTTGCTTATTATCATTTCCACTGGTGGCTTTCAAACTACTTTACTAACCCACACCTATATATTAAAAAAACACATTTTTTTTTTACAACTCCAGTACATACCAAAATAAAAATTTCACAGAGCAGTACTGAACCTTACTACATGCAACACACTCTGGTTATTTACTATTCCACACTATATTCTATTTCTTTATTCTAATTTTGGTTTCAACACACTAAATTGATATCATGCATGACCCTTTAGTGGGCCAAACTTACAGTTTAAAAATATTGCAATACAATGTGAACTCACGTAGATTCTAGAGCATGGTAGATGCTCAATGTAGGAATTGAAGAAAAAGATAAAACAAAAATCTGTGTATCCCTAGCAATTAGTGCAGGGTAAGGTACAAAGCAGTGGTTAATAAAAATGTTTGAGAACAAAATAAACACAAAATTCTGGGATAGATCATCTTCATGAATCATATTCCCCCCATCACTTCCCTTTTTAAGAATAAAGATTTCTTGGCAGAGCGCGGTGGCTCACTCCTGTAATCCCAGCACTTTTGGAGGCCAAGGTGGGTGAATCACCTGAGGTCAGGAGTTCAAGACCAGCCTGGCCAACATGGCGAAAACCTGTCTCTACTAAAAATAGCAAAAATAATTAGCTGGGTGTGGTGGCACATGCCTGTAATCCCAGCTACTTGGGAGACTGAGGCAGGAGAATCGCTTGAACCCAGGAGGCGGAGGTTGCAGTGAGCTGAGATCATGCCATTGCACTCCAACCTGGGCAACAAGAGCAAAACTCCACCTCAAAATAAATAAATAAATAAATAAATAAATAAATAAATAAAGATTTATTACAAGATATTAAGATGAAAACATGGACATGTAAAAACATATACAGAGACAGGCAAAACTGGAGAAGGAATAAAACTTGTTGTATTTGAAGGGGATGGTGAGATAGAGAGGCACGATTCTGAAAGCCAGCTGTTAGGTCTTCTTCCAAAAAAGGCTTGAAGTGGTAAAGTCACCAATGTCCAGGATATGGTCATCAGTTCTGTATGTCATAAATCATCTTGTAAATGGCCCAAATATCACTTAAGCTAACCAAATTAACAAGATACTGATGAATAACCAATATAAGCTAATATTTACTGAGTACTTACTTTGTTTCAGGCACTATTATAATCACTTTCTATGAATCTATCCTCAAACAACTCTGAAGTAGGGTAATTTCATGTCATTATCTCCATTTCAAAGGTCAGGAAACTGAGACTGGGAGATTAAGCAGCTTTCCCAAGGTTATAAAACTAATAAATGGTAATAAAGTTATAAAAAGAATAATAATGAAAACATTGTGAAAAATCTCTCAGAAAGTAGAGCAATACACCAAGAAAGAGAGGGAAAGGATTTAAATACAAAGAACTAATCCAGGGGGCCCAATAATTGAATTCTAAGAAGTCTGGGGGAAATAGAAATTTAGCATGATAGAAAAGAAATTATCAAATAAACAACGCAAGAGAACTTTTCATATCCAAAAGATGAGTATTCAAAGTGTTCTCTGTGTACCCAAAACAATGAATAAGAAAGGCTCCATACCAAGGCACATTTTGAAATATCAGAACATTGGAGATAAAAAGAGAAAAAAAAAACAAAAAAACACAATAACAAAAAAAAAAAACAGGAGGAGGTGAAAACAGCCCCTCTCATTATCTCACGAAATAATCCACTGGAGAAATTTTTTTTTGAGACGGAATCTTGCTCTGTCTCCCAGGCTGGAATGTAGTGGTGTGATCTTGGCTCACTGCAACCTCCGCCTCCCGGGTTCAAGAGATTTTCCTTCCTCAGCCTCCCGAGTAGATGGGAGTACAAGTGCACGCCACCATGCCCAGCTAATTTTTGTATTTTTAGTAGAAACGGCATTTCACCATATTGGTCAGACTGGTCTTCAACTCCTGACCTCATGATCCACCAGCCTCGGCCTCTGAAAGTGCTGGGATTACAGGCATGAGCCACCACGCCTGGCCTCCACTGGAGAAATTTTTGCCTCTTTTCCCCACAACCTTGGGCTCACAGATTTTGAGGCCCTAGTGTCCAAGGAAGAAATGCTTCCACCAAGAAACACCATCATGGGTCAGATGAATTGGAAACTGAAACTGCCTCCTGGAGATTTTGGGCTTCTTCAGCTGCAAAACTAGAGGTAGAAAAGGGTCACCACAGCCAAGTGGTGATTAATCCCCAATATCAAGGAGAAACTGGGTTGTTACTATACAATGAGGCAAGGATGACTACGTCTGAATCCCAACTGAGGCAACTCAGTAGAGACAGCCAATCCAACAGAAGTAAGACCATAGTGCACTCAGACCATTTGGAAATTAGGGTTTGGGACACTGTACTAAAGAATAAAACATAGTCAAGGTGCTTACAGAAATGAGGGGACACAGAATGAGGGGTGGAAAAAGGAAGTTATGATTATCAACTTAGGCCTCATAATCACCCACAGAAGTAGAGTTCAATAGCAGCTTCATTTTACATTATTCTTGATCCTTATTCCACCTGTACCTCATACGAAGAGCATTGGCATTGGCTAACATTTCAAATTTCATCATCCTCTGATGATATGATAGGTGTGGGACTATGTGTGGTCACTGTGTTAGCAACACTGATTGCCACACAAGAGATGGTATGTGAATTTCTTACAGGCAAGTGAAACCTGTAAGATACTGGGGCTTGAATTGCCTTTACAGTATTCCACCCAAAAACAAGGCCTACTGACAGGAGACCACAGCAGCAAGGAGCCAGAGTTTCCTTGTCAGGAAATTGGTATAATGCGGAGGCCCCTGTAGGCTCATTGAAGTAATTAAGAATGCATGCTATCTAAGAGGCAGTAAGAACATCGATGATCAATGTCAGCTGGAGAAGTAGAGATGACCAAAAGTGAATATAGTTAAGTAGCAAGATTCATTTCTTCTCTATTCCTACTTCTAACCCCTAACCTGGAGGAGTTAGCCTTGAAAAAAAAAAAAAACGAAGAAATATCCTAGAACCAGATACCACCCCCCACCTGCCCCCAACCCAATCTTAAGGAGCTTAGAGAGGGAGAATGCATAAAAAATTGACCAGGATCTATTACACATCTCAGGTCCCTATGGCTACAAATCTGGCCAGCAATGGGGAAGTTTTAAAACTAGTCCAAGTTTAAAATTCTGAAGTTTTAAAGTAGTCCATGCTAGACTTCGAATAACTTAAAAGACCAGAAAGCTGGTCGGGCACGGTGGCTCATACCTGTAATCCCAGCACTTTGGGAGGCCGAGGCCGGTGGATAATCTGAGGTCAGGAGTTCGAGACCAGCCTGGCCAACATGGTGAAACCCCCCACCTCTACTAAAAATACAAAAGTCAGCCAGGTGTAGTGGTGCGTGCCTGTAGTCCCAGCTATTCCAAAGGCCGAGGCAGGAGAATCACTTGAACGTGGGAGGTGGAGGTTACAGTGAGCTGAGATCGTGCCACTGCATTTCAGCCTGGGTGACAGAGTGAGACTCCATCTCAAAAAAAAAAAAAAAAAAAGAGAAGAAGACCAGAAAACTATGGAATCTGCCTGGGGGGAAAGGATATTCAACACAGTACTGAGGAAACAGTGACTTGAGAAAAAGAAAACATTTTATTTTTGAATCTCCACCAAGTTCAGATTCCTTAGTAATCTGGTCGCATAAAAGTATGAGTAGAAAATAGTTTATTACATAAGTTAAGTGAATGAATCAGAACTTGAAATTGTATGTATGTGATAAGCACAATTGTATAAATAATCTGAATATATTAAAGTCTGGAGCAGATACTTGAATTTTCCCTAAATCACAATTTTGCATAGGGTCAGCAATGACCACATATCTAATCAAACGTACTATAATACTTCTTTGTGTTATTTATTTGTTTAAGATGTAAAATAGGTTTATTTAGCATGATTGCTTTTCACAAACCTATGTTAGATGATGGATACTTGGCTACCTTCTGTGGATCTATAAATTGCAGGGGTTTTCTTGTGGGGGCTGGTTATTGTTTTTCAAAGATTTAACACTATAGTCTTGCAAAGAAGCAGACTAAACAGAGCATGATCCCTCAGTTCCTCCCTTTTCCATTAAAAATTGAGTATTTTGCTTGACTTTTCCCGTTATCTGCAATCATTCCAGTTTGCAGGGAGTCCATACATATAATTGTTAATATTGCAGATATTTCAGAGAACATGTCTTTGAGCCTTCCAGTGAAGATTCCTTTGGCCCACCTGATGTGAAATCATCTATCCTAACCCATTCTATCTCACTCCAATTTCTATAACATCATTGGTAATATTTGTATGAGGACTCTAATTTATGAAGTCTTCCTCCCACACTGAAACATTTTAGGGCACTGGAGCAAGGTAAGAATCTCCTGGAACTACTTGTGGTACACTGATCTCATATGTAGGAGTGCCTTAACCTCAAGACTGGCACAAAAAAAGATTAAATGTTCATGGTTATCATTTTTTTTAAAAAATCTCAACCTTGTATGACCCCAGTGAAAAATACATATGAACTAAACAGCATAAAAATAATGAGGTTTATCAAAGAATGACCCTTTCAAATCACAGCTATTGTTCTTATCTGTCACATGATTTAGATAATTATCTTTCTACCTTTAGTAAATGGATGTGTTGTAATATACTAAATATACAACACAATTTTCATTTGTGGTTAGATATGTACTCATATATAATTAAACCTTATAGTAGTAAATAAAATTGTCATTTGGTATTTAAACATATAATCTATTTCATTTAACAAAAAGCAAAGCAAAACCTAAGGAAATTAAGTCATACTGATACTATTTGAATGAATTGGACATTTGTCATCTCCCTGCTGCAGTCCTATATTTACTCAAAAGTACAATACGAACTTCAAAATATGAGAATAAAATAACTTCAAAGTCCACATGCAAAGGAAAAAATAGCAAACATCTTTACCAAATGAAAGAAACATACAATTTAGCTCAGCAGGACTTCTACACATCCAAGGACAATGTAGGTTTGCAGCCACACATTTTTGAAAAAGAAAATTTCTTGGCTGGGCACAGTGGCTCACACCTGTAATCCCAGCACTTTGGGAGGTTGAGGCAGGTGGATCACAAGGTCAGGAGTTCGAGACCAGCCTGGCCAAGATGGTGAAACCCCATCTCTACTAAAAATACAAAAATTAGCTGGGCGTGGTGGCAGGCGCCTGTAATCCTCGCTACTCAGAAGGCTGAGGAAGGAGAATTGCTTGAACCCGGGAGGTGGAGGTTGCAGTGAGCTGAGATGGCATCACTGCACTCCAGCCTGGGCGACAGAGCAAGACTCTGTCTCAAAAAAAAAAAGAAAAAAAAAATTATTTCTGGTCTTTCTTGCGATCCTTCCTTAACAAAGCTGGCATAAAACAAAATGTTATAGGCTGGGCGCAGTGGCTCACCCTTGTAATCCCAGCACTTTGGGAGGCTGAGGCGGGCAGATCACTTGAGGTCAGGAGTTCGAGACCAGCCTGGCCAACACGGTGAAACCCCGTCTCTACTAAAAACACAAAAATTAGCTGGGTATGTTGGCGGGCACCTGTAATCCCAGCTACTCAGGAGGCTGAGGCACAAGAATCACTTGAACCTGGGAGGCAGAGGTTGCAGTGAGCCAAGATCACGCCATCACACTCCAGCCTGGGCAATAGAGTGAGACTCAGTCTCAAAAAAAAAAAAAAGTTATAATTATCTGTTAATATTTTAAAAGATTTTAGAAACCTTTTGAAATTTTATTACTTTTTTAAATGAAAATTTTCATTTCTCCAAGTATTCAGAATATTACATGTTTTTTAAAAAGTCACATTCATATTTTTAGATAAGATTCAGTTAATGAGAATATAACCCAGTATCTCGGGGTAAATAGATCATTCCATTTATATAGGGATTGTCCTTAAGGATCAGGCAGGGAAGGAAGGGGATAAAGAAACCTGAGAGGGGGCCTAAGAAGAGAAGATATGGGCAAACTTAAATAATGTATTCAATACAACAATTAATCTGAATAAAAGTCTTTAGTAAATGTTAGTTAAAAGAATTGCTCTCACTTCAAGTGAGAACTCAGGGATGAAGATAACATAGATCCAGCCTTGTAGAGTATAAGGAAATGGCTGTGCTTTGGTCAAGGAGGGGCCAAGGTAACTATCCAGAGTGACTCAGAGAGTTTAGAGCGCAGGCGTATAACTCCACCTGTTATCACAGCCATGTAGCCATAACATAGGAAGGCCATCACTTGGTTCTACACCACATTGTCTGTAAAAGGTATAAATGCCCTACTGACACCGTACAGGCATGCTCGCACCCAGAGAAAGAGAGCGAGCCAAAGCTGTCCATCTTACAGATGGACAGGAGGGATCCAGGACACAGCTAGACTTGCTTGTCCTCAGAGAGAGAAAAAGTTAAGCTGCTGACCCTGAAAGCAAGGGAGAGGCGGCTGGCGCCACTGTGCATGGGAGCCACAGGCTCAAGCAGCCCGGACAGAGCAGACAGTGTAAGAGAGCTGCTGAATAAAGCCGTATTTCACCTGCCTACAGCCCCCCGAGTGTTCTTCCACCTATTTGCCACTCATCCTGTAACCGACCAAGGGGTTCACCTTGCCCGCTGCCTAGACAGAGCCAATTCATCAAGACAGGGGAATTGCAATTGAGAAAGAGTAATTCACGCAGGGCCGGTTGTGTGGAAGACTGGAGTTTTATTATTATTACTATTATTATTGTTATTATTTTGAGATGGAGTCTCGCTCTGTCGCCTAGGCTGGAGTGCAGTGGCGCAATCTCGGCTCACTGCAAGCTCCACCTCTCCGGTTCACACCATTCTCCTGCCTCAGCCTCCTGAGTAGCTGGGACTACAGGCACCCGCCACCATGCCCAGCTAATTTTTTGTGTTTTTAGTAGAGATGGGGTTTCACCGTGTTAACCAGGATGGTCTCGATCTCCTCACCTCGTGATCCGCCCGCCTCGTCCTCCCAAAGTACTGGGATTACAGGCGTGAGCCACCGCGCCCGGCCAGGAGTTTTATTATTACTCAAATGAGTCTCCCTGAGCATTCCGGGAGCAGAGTTTTTAAGGATACCTTGGTGGGTGGGGGGAAGCCAGTGAGCCAGGAGTGCTAATTGATCAGAGATGAAATCATAGGGAGTCAGAGCTGTCTTGTTGCGCTCAGTCAGTTCCTGGGTGGGGGCCACAAAATCAGATGGGCCAGTTTATTGATCTGGGTGGGGCCAGCTGATCCATCAAGTGCAGGGTTTGCAAAATATCTCAAGCACTGATCTTAAAAGCAGTTTACGGAGGGTCAGAATCTTGTAGCCTCCAGCTGCATGACTCCTAAACCATAATTTCTAATCTTGTGGCTAATGTTAGTCCTACTAAGGCAATCTAGTCCCCAGGCAAGGAGGAGGTCTGCTTTGGGAAAGGGCTGTTACTGTCTTTGATTAAACTATAAAGTTTCTCCCAAAGTTAGTTCAGCCTACGCCCAGGAATGAACAAGGACAGCTTGGAGGTTAAAAGCAAAATGGAGTCAGTTAAGTTAAACCTCTTTCACTGTCCCAGTCATAATTTTGCAAAGGTGGTTTCAATCCACCTGCTCCCTCCGGACCTCAGCATGGGCTGGAACCTGACCCTGAACCTAACAGAGAAGTTATCAATAAGGAGCAAATAAGCTTAAAAGTAGAGAAGGTAATGATTCACCATTATCCCCAGAAGGACAGATCAGAAAGTTGAGGCAGTCCTTCTGTGATAAGCAGGCCTACCTTGGTGAATGAACATAGCAGGCCCTCAAAACAGCAAGCCTCAATGAAGCCTGCTGGAGAGAAGTGAGAGGGCAAGACTCTGTCTCAAAAAAAAAAAAAAAAAAAGTCTTACTCAGGGTGAAATGTGGGACTGCTGCATGGTACAGCAGCGTGTTCCTGTTTGTTGTGGGAAACCCGAGGAGAAGAGGAGGAAGGATATTATATTCACTGTATCAATTGCCCAGTACCTCTCCTTGATTCCATAAATGTATTCCGAACAGGTCTCTGGATCTGGGAAGATGACAGTTTACATTTAGTGTTTGAATGTTCAGGTGCTTAATTGATTGAAGGGTAGAGAGAAGGAGGGTAAGCTCCTGATGGGGAATAGCCAGGCTTTCTTAGAGCTTGGTAAGAAAGCTGGAACCTAATCTGAGTTAAAATTGTCTAGGGAAATCCAGAGCTACTGGTGGGCTTGTCTCCAAGAATACTCCCATGTCCCAGAAAATTGTCTCTTTAGAGCTATTGTACCAGGGATACAATTTACTGTGGCAAAAGATCACCTCTTGGAAATTGTGTTGCTTACTCACCTTCCGCCACAGCTATTCCCTGGTGACATTCAGAGGGCAAGGCCTGTGTTACACATGTGTTGGTAGTAATGGGTTAAACGTGGATGAGACACTTTTTAGTCCCTGATTCTAATCACATGCTTAAGGATGTTTTTTAAAGCAAAGAAACTTAGCAGTTTTCAATCTCAAGAGCTGTGAAATACTTAAACAACAGTGAAAGCTTAGTTATTTGGGAGGAAAAATATGTTCTTGGTATTACTACGCAGTCATTTAACAAACATTTAATAGGTATCAACCATATGTCAGACACAGTGACTTTCTCTGCAAAGTAAAGGCAGCAAATTGGCCCTTTCTACAACATGAAAGGGGAAGAAAAAAAGTAGAAAAACAGAACCATTTGAGAGACTTGGGCCATAATATCAGCTTATCAGTTTCTTACTGATAATCGAGAGTGTGAAATTAAGGCAGGGACCTTCACGGGTGCACAAGTGATCTACTGGGACAGAAAGTATTAAAAATGCAGCTGAGCACAGTGGCTTATGCCTGTAATCCCAGCACTTTGGGAGGCCGAGGCAGGCAAATCACTTGCGGTCAGAAGTCTGAGACCAGCCTGGCCAACATGGTGAAATCCCATCTCTACTAAAAATAAAAAAATTAGCTGGGGCCAGGCACGGTGGTTCATGCTTGTAATCCTAGCATTTTGGGAGGCTGAGCTGGGCTGATCACTTGAGATCAGGAGTTCAAGACCAGCCTGGCCAACATAGTGAAACCCCATCTCTACTAAAAGTACAAAAAATTATCTGGGCATGGTGCCGGGCCTATAGGTACGTGCCTATAGTCCCAGCTACTCGGGAGGCAGGAGGATTGCTTGAGCCCAGGAGGTGGAGGTTGCAGTGAGCCAAGATCGTGCCAGTGCACTCCAGCCTGGGCAATAGATCCAGACTCTGTCTCACACACCCGAAAAAAAGCCGGGCGTGGTAGTATGCGCCTATAATCCCAGCTACTCAGGAGGCGGGAGGCTGAGGTGGGCCCATCCCTTGGACCTGGGAGGCAGAGGTTGCAGTGTGCTAAGATCATGCCTCTACACTCCAGCCTGGGCAACAGAGTGAGACTCCATCTCAAAAAAAAAAAAAAAATAGTATTAAAAGTGAGTATTTATGATCTTTTTTGTCTAAAAAATAAAACATTAATAGTAATATTTAATATGTGAATTAACAGTAGTAAAAAGCATACATTTTTAAGGAGATATGACCAAAAGTTGTTACACATATGTGTGCCAAATAAAAATGTATCATAATGACGAGATTATCTGATTTCTAAAGCCACTTGGCTCTAAAATTCCTGATTCTGTATTATTCAACTGCCTTAGTTTCTCTTAAACTATATTAAAAAATAAAATCCTATCTATACTAACACTGACTTCCTCATATAAAACAAAATTTAATTTTGAAAAGATTTTAAAAAGCAAATCTTTTATTCTTTAAATGCATCCTACCCCTACCGACTCACCCTTCTTACCTGATAAAGCAGGTTCTCTTTGTGTCATGTGATGCCAGTCAGTATGACTTTCTTCCTCTTAATTCATTCAACTGACTGGCAAAGGGACTGGCCCTGTGTTTATGCGATTAATGAAGTTAACCTTAAAGTCTGGATCCCCCTAGAAAATTTTTGAAAAAAATCTCTTTAATTTTCACTAACTTGCACAGTGGTTGATTTAGCTTGTTGACTTCATATAGTCCCTCAAAACTCCAATTTGTAAAAAGAATTAGAGAAAACACTACCATAAAACTAAACTTTATTTTTATTCTTTTAAGGTTTATGAACTAAACACTGAACTAGCACCATTATACAGTTGGTATAAACCTTGTTACTTTGTGTGTCCACATCATGGGAAGTTAAAACTCCTGCTGTACATAGTGATATAGGTAAATAGGTTACAAAGGAGTTGACTGAAAACCAACCTATTAAAATGACAGATTTCACAACAAGGTGAATATATTCTTAATATTACTGAACTATAAACTTAAAAATAGTTAACATGGTAAGTTATATGTTATGTGTTTTTTTACATTAAAAGAAAGACAATGGCCTGGTGCGGTGGCTCACACCTGTAATCCCAGCACTTTGGGACAGAGGCGACAGAGTGAGACTCCGTCTCAAAAAAAAAAAATAAAATAATAATAATACTTAAAATAGCATTTTAATGATAGAATGTATAATATCACAGTTATTATTGTATTACCTACCAAAAGTAGACAAATACATAATTAATGCCATTCTAATAAATTAGTTTCCAAAAGTAAAGCAGGCATCACTGGACAGTCATTTTGAAAACAGGTATAAATAATTATAGTGCTTGTTATTTTGGCCAATCTTTGCTTGTAAATAATGACAAAATGCAAAATGGAAAATATTAGTTTTCAACTAATTGTTCCTAGTTTTGATTAAATTGCTTCCCTTAGAGTCTGTGTACCATAATACGTCGAATGTAGAGAAGAGGATAGGGAGTTAGCAACCATGTCTAAAAACCTCCAAAAAGATGGATAAGTTTCTCTTTTTTTTTTTTTTTTGAGACGGAATTTTGCTCTAGTTACCCAGGCTGGAGTGCAATGGCGTGATCTTGGCTCACCGCAACCTCTGCCTCCCGGGTTCAAGTGATTCTCCTGCCTCAGCCTCCCGAGTAGCTGGGATTACAGGCATGCACCACCACACCCGGCTAATTCTGTATTTTTCTTTGAGATGGGATTTCTCCATGTTGGTCAAGCTGGTCTCCAACTCCGGACCTCAGGCGATCTGCCCACCTTGGCCTCCCAAAGTGCTGGGATTATAGGTGTGAGCCACCACGCGCAGCCAGATGGATAAGTTTCTAACTGTGAAAGAAACCAATACATCATCATTGAAAGAGACAAATGGTATTAAAGAATAAAAAAACTCATTAGGCTGGGCGCGGTGGCTCACGCCTATAATCCCAGCACTTTGGGAGGCCAAGGAGGCAGATCACTTGAGGTCAGGAGTTCCAGAACAGCCTGGCCAACATGGTGAAACCCTAAAATTACAAAAATTAGCTGGGTGTGGTGGCGGATGCTCACTGTAGCCCCAGCTACTCGGGAGGCTAAGGCAGGAGAATTGCTTGAACCTAGGAGGTGGAGATTGCAGTGAGCCGAGATCATGCCACTACACTCCAGCCTGGGCAGACTCTGTCTCCAAAACAAAAACAAAAACAAAAAACCTCATTAATCCCCATCTCTAAATTCCCCCTAAAGGCAACTATAGTTAAGTTTGTGAGGTATGCTTTCAGATGTTTTCTGTTTATATCAAAATATATTTTTATATAAATGAAATAACATTATATTTTTTGTAATTTATTTTTTAGCCTATTGTATAGGAGATAGAACATATTAGCCAGCCCCTTGTGCTAGTAGTTTAGGCTATTTTCAACTTGCCAGTGAAAATAATACAGCATTGAACATCTTTGTTTTAGTGTATCTTTGCATTTCTGTGAAATAGTTTTGCAGTACAAATGCTTAAAAGTGGAACTGTTGTTGCCTCAAAGGATACACAAATTGAAAATTTTGTTACATTTGTAAAAATGTGTTAAAATTTCTAAATTGCCCCTCAAAAGTTACTAATTTATACACGTATGGGTAGTACATTAGAGTTGGAAAATAAAGACTGTTGGTAATTTTTGTGTATTTAGGATAGGGGTCCTCTTACAGTAGTTTTCAACATGAGCCGGTCCATTTTTATTTTCTTTCTTTCCTTTTTTTTTTTTTCTTGAGACAGACTCGCTCTGTCGCCCAGGCTGGAGTGCAATGGCGGGATCTCGGCTCACTGCAACCTCCGTCTCCCGGGCTCAAGCAATTCTCCTGCCTCAGCCTCCTGAGTAGCTGGAATTACGGGTGTATGCCACCACACCCGGTTAATTTTTGTATTTTCAGTAGAGATGGAGTTTCACCACGTTGGCCAGGCTGGTCTCGAACTCCTGACTTCATGTGATTTGCCTGCCTCGGCCTCCCAAAGTGCTGGGATCACAGACGTGAGCCACCGCGCCCAGCCTATTTTCTTTCTTGTATCCCATTTGGAAGTCATCTAGCTGGATAATGGTTTCTGGATAATTGCTCTGGGAACTGAGACTCATAACTTTATGCTCATTAGCACTACGAGCTAAAAAAATGAGCTAACTAACTACTGTTATTTGTCTGTGTAAAGGTATGCATTTTGAAATGAAGACACATTACATACATGCATTTTTCTTAAAATTGATTTCCTGCATCAATTTTCTGATGACCATATATATATATATATATTTTGAGACGGAGTCTGTCTCCCAGGCTGGAGTACAGTGGCATGATCTCGGCTCACTGCAAGCTCCGCCTCCTGGGTGCATGCCATTCTCCTGCCTCAGCCTCCCAAGTAGCTGGGACTACAGGCGCCCGCCACCACGCCTGGCTAATTTTTTGTGTTTTTAGTAGAGACGGGGTTTCACCGTGTTAGCCAGGATGCTGTCGATCTCCTAACCTCGTGATCTGCCTGCCTCGGCCTCCCAAAGTGCTGGGATTACAGGCATGAGCCACTGCGCCCGGCCCGATGACCATATTTTTTTGTGCCAAATTTTAATCCATTCTGGAGGTTTCAAAGCAAGATAGTGAAGTTTATCAGTCCATATGAACTTGAGCCTGTACCAACACATGGTTGCCAGTTCATACCTAATAGTGTAATATGGCCCTTTTCTCTGAAGAAAATGCCTTTTCCAAATCTCCCTTACTAGAATAAATGTTATCATAGTAATACCACTTCATACCTGCATAGAGTTTTAGAGTTTACAAAGGTCGTTCACAAATATTATTCCGTTTAGTTTTTACAGCAACCCAGTGTGGTGACTGGGCAGTACTATTATCTCCACTTAATAGATGCAACAAGGTTGAACAAGCATGAAGTAGTAGAACTGGGACTAGTAGGGCAGTAAACTTCCCACAAGATATGTTGTCTCTTCCATATATATATGAGGATAGCATATTCCTTTCATAGAAATTTTATTCCATGATTGTAATAGTTGCTTTCTTAAATTCTCTTTAGAACAAAGTAAAATATAAGTTAAAAAAGGAAAGAAATCCCTACAAAAAAAAAGAGAATTTTTTTCCTTTTGGGTAATTTTCACATTACCTTTCCAAAATAAGTCATTCTTTTATCTTTTAGGTAAACTGTACCAAAACATCTATTCTGTAACATTAAAAAAAAAAAATGTGAGGATGGACATGGTGGCTCACACCTATTATCCTAGCATTCCGGGAGGCCAAGCTGAGAGGATTGCTTGAGGCCAGGAGTTTGGGACCAGCCTGGGCAACATACTGAGACTCCATTTCTACAAAAAACAAAAAAATTAGCTGTGCACAATGGCACACATTTGTAGTCCTGGCTATTTGGGAGGCTGAGAGGCAGGAGGATCTTTTGAGCCCAGCAGTTGGAGGCTGGAGGCTGTAGTGAGCTATGATTGCATCATTGCAATCCAGCCTGGGTGAGAGTGAGACCCTGTCTCAAAAAAAAAAAAAAAAAAAAAAAGTGAACATCTAAGACGAGGACAATATAAAACCTCAATTCTGCAAGCAAATCACATTAAATGCTAGTCATACAATATATCAGTAAGTTTCATCATATTTTTTTCCTACAACTAACCATAATATCACAGGACTAATAATCTGTGATATACCACAGTTAAAACGTAATTCTTCTTGATTTCTTACTTATAAAGATCATAATTGCTGGTCAGCAATTGATCCATAGATAAGGTGATTTTGGAAAGAAATGATAAGTCTTGCCATTTTGAAAAGAAAAGTTTTTTTTTTTTTTTGAGATGGAGTCTCGCTCTCTTGAGCAGGCTGGAGTGCAGTGGCACTATCTCAGCTCACTGCAACCTCCGCCTCCTGGGTTCAAGCGATTCTACTGCCTCAGCCTCCCAAGTAGTTGAGATTACAGGCTCATGTCACCACGCCTGGTTAATTTATTGTACTTTTTAGTAGAGACAGGGTTTTACCATGTTGGCCAGGCTGGTCTCAAACTCCTGACCTCAGGTGATCTGCCTGCCTTGGCCTCCCAAGTGCTGGGATTACAGGTGTGAGCCACCGTGCCTAGCCAAAAATGATTATTAAAGAAAAAGATTGTTTTCCTTTTTTGATCCATAATGTCATTAGTCTCATTGATTTCAGTTTTCTGTCTTAACATTATGACTGTAATTTCTTTTTTTTTTTTTGAGACGGGGTCTCGCTCTTGCCCAGGCTGGAGTGCAGTGGCGGGATCTCGGCTCACTGCAAGCTCCGCCTCCCAGGTTCACGCCATTCTCCTGCCTCAGCCTCCTGAGTAGCTGGGACTGCAGGCACCCGCTACCACGCCCGGCTACTTTTTTTGTATTTTTAGTAGAGACAGGGTTTCACCATGTTAGTCAGGATGGTCTGGATCTCCTGATCTCGTGATCCGCCCGCCTCGGCATCACAAAGTGCTGGGATTACAGGCGTGAGCCACCACGCCCGGCCTATGACTGTAATTTCTTGTGTATCATTAGGTTTCAAGAAAAAGGATCTTGAAACCTTTTCTTGGGATCACGACTGTAATCCCAGCACTTTTGGAGGCCGAGATGGGCAGATCATCTGAGGTTGGGAGTTCGAGATCAGCCTAACCAACATGGAGAAACCCCGTCTCTACAAAAATACAAAATTGCTGGGTGTGGTGGCGCATGCCTGTAATCCCAGCGACTCAGGAGGCTGAGGCAGAAGAATCGCTTGAACCCGGGAGGCGGAGGCTGTGGTGAGCTGAGATTGTGCCATTGCACTCCAGCCTGGGCAACAAGAGTGAAACTCCGTCTAAAAAAAAAAAAAAAAAAAAGAAAGAAAAAGGATCTGGGCATTCTCAGTACCTTTTCTGATCTTTATCTTCAGGAAAGCCATCTCTATATAGTTGAGCAAATAAATACTGGGCTGAGTATCTGATGAACTGCACTCTGCATAGGTTGCATACTGAGAATGAACTTGGGCAGTTTATCTTTTCTGGGCTTTGGTTTCCTCATCTCTAAAATGAGAGGGCGTGTTAGTTCTAGACCATCATCCCAAGGGTCCATTTTAGCTTTAGCGTGCATCACTGTAAAACCTGTTAACAAATATTTGTTGAGATAAGGAATTCTGGTGTATAGCCAACATTGTGGGAATATTTGTGGATACCTAAATAGTGGTTTATCCTCTGGGGAAAGCAGTTCCTACAGCTACTAAATACTAACAAGGCCTATGGCTAAAATCAGGTAGCACCTTGTGATGTAATTCAAACCACTAGGACATGTGGCATGCAAGACTACATCAGGCTACTTGAGGTATTTATTAGGTAACAATTTTTTTTTTTTTTTGAGACGGAGTCTCACTCTGTTGCCCAGGCTGGAGTGTAGTGGCGCAATCTCGGCTCACTGCAACTTTCGCCTCCAGGGTTCAAGCGATTCTCCTGCCTCAGCCTCCCGAGTAGCTGGGATTACAGGCGCCTGCCACCATGCCTGGCTAATTTTTGTATTTTTAGTAGAGACGGGGTTTCACTATGTTGGCTACACTGGTCTCGAACTCCTGAGCTCAGGCAATCTACCCGCCTCGGCCTCCCAAAGTGCTGGGATTATAGGCGTGAGCCACCGCGCCCGGCCTAGGTAACGATTTTTGCGCGCTAAACGGTTCTTAGTAACCTGCAGAGTGAAAGCAGAGTACCTAAATATCATACTGTATACGTTAAAAACAGGGGAGAAAGGAAAAAAGGTGTTAAAGTTTACAGCAAAATGAGAAACAAATGAGGAAAACAAGTGAAAGCTTCTCCCGCAACTGAAACTCAACCTCTACATTTTACCTAGGTAAAATGGTAAAATTGCCCACAGGGCTCAGGTGTTTGGATGCACTGTCCAGGCCAAGAGGAAAGATTTTCAGCCAGTCTCCAAAACATCTCAGGGACGGGTATGGAAAACAGGCGTAAAGTGTCTGTATTGATCAAATCAACCCCAGAGAAACTTTCCTAGGGCCAGAGAGCATCTCAACCGCGAAAGTCCGTTTGCGGCCTCCTTCTCCACTTCAGGCCTGCAAAGCGGCTGACGGCATTCGCAGTGGCTAGGCAACGGCCCGCGCAGACTTCTCGGCGTTAGCCCCGCCTCTTGAGGCGCTTCCGCCGCCGGGCTCCTGGACACGCCTCCTTTAATTGGCTAACGTCACGCTGGGAGTGGGCGGGGAAAATATGTCAGACTGTGCGGTCACTTCCGGCCCGGGAGCGCGCGGGTTGATTCGTCCTTCCTCAGCCGCGGGTGATCGTAGCTCGGAAATGGCGGGTAAGTTACCGGGAAAAGTTTACCAAGGGGAGGAGGCGGCCAGATCGGGGATAGAACGCCGAGACGGTGGTGACAATGCCCGCCTAGAACTTTCGGGCTGTAGCCTGGGTTCCAGAAGGCCTGCTTGGGACCGGAAGCGCGGAACTCTCAGCCCAGCAGCTCCTTGTTGGCGGCGGTCCGCGCCCCCGCCCCCAACTGCTTGGGGTTCTGCGCCTTCTGCCAGCAATCCGGCCCCTACCGAGGGCCGAAGACGCCAGGGAAAAGCGTCATGATTTGGGCTCGTAAAATGCCACATGCCTTGGGGCCTGTTTCTCTTCCCATTCCTTTTGTCCACTGCTGCTTGCTTCAGCTCTTGTACATCTGGTCCTGTTCCCGCCAGCTGATTTTAATGCTCAGATCCTCCTCCTCTTCCAGGTCTCCGTCTACCTTCCACTACAGTCAACTTCTGAGCTAGCGCATTGCTGCCTTGCCCTGCTCTGGCGCTCCCACTTGGATCTCGACTGACTTCGTAGTCGTCTCGTTAATCTGTCACACTTTAGTATTCCGAGGATCGTATTTAGATGCCCTTTGAGAAAGACTTTGTTCCTGAACTGCTCCCTTCTCTTTTAGGGTTGGACTACTATAATACAATTCTCTTGTGTACATTCTAGAGACCCTTCAAGTTACAACATTTAATAATGTATAATTGCTATTACTTTGTACGTGTATTAAGGCTGTTTTGGTGTGATTATTTTTTTCGATTACTTATCTTTTGAAGTTATGGACAGTTTCTTTTTCCTGAGACAGGGTCTCTCTGTCGCCCAGGCTGGAGTGCAGCGATCATAGTTCCGGGCAGCTTCCAACTCCTCGTAGGCTCAAGCGATCCTCTTGCCTCAGCCTCCCGAGTAGCTAGGACTACAGGCATGCGCCACAACATTCGGCTAAAAAAAAACAATTTTTTTTAACCTTTTAGAGACAGAGTCTGGCTGTATTGCCTCAGGCCGGTCTGGAACTCTTGGCCTCAAGCCATCCTCTCGCCTCAGCTTCCCAAAGTGTTGGAATGACAGGATTGAGCCACTTCGCTGGCCTTTGTTGCTTTTATCATCTCTTTACAGGGCATTCCTCATAGTCTCTCCACATTAACCATTCCATTTTTATGAATATGTGGGATAGACAAGCTGTTGTGTGAGCTCTACAGATGTTTAAAGAAGGACTTTTCTACCAGATGGAGATTGTAGGATCTTGAAGTACCACAGAAGAGGGAGGACGTACTCTAAGAATTACATCTAAATTCGAATTTTGGGCCCATCATTTAGTAGTTGGATGCCCTTCAACTAAACCTCTTTCTAAGCCTGAACTTTTGAATGTAAAATGGGGTTGATGTAATACCTACTTATAGAATTGTGCAGATTGAGCTAATATATGATTTCACAGGTTAAATTTTGTTGCTTACATTCCTCGAAGTAAATTCTGTAATCTCGGTTCTGTAGATTAGGGTCAGAGGGGTTAAGTAATGTGCTCTAGTTCCCTGAGCTTACTAGCTCAGTAAGTGTGTGAAATAGTCAGAATCCAGGAATTCTCACTCCAGACTATTAATCTGTACTGCTTCAAGTCTTTCCCATTTTCTGTGTGTGTGTTTTAACCCCTTTTTGAAGTTTATAGCACATCATTGTACCCCTTTTTATTTTTTGCTTATGGCTTTTTTCTGTCTGAATTTTTACTGATTTTTTTTTTTTTTGGAGACTGAGTCTCGCTCTGTCACCAGGCTGGAGTGCAGTGGCGCGATCTCGGCAACCTTTGCCTTCTGGATTCAAGCAATTCTGCCTCAGCCTCCGGAGTAGCTAGGACTACAGTCACGCGCCACCACGTCCAGCTAATTTTTGTATTTTTAGTGGAGATGGGGTTTCACCATGTTGGCCAGGATGATATCCGTCTCGACCTCGCGATCCCCCTGCCTCGGCCTCCCAAAGTGCTGAAATTACAGGCGTGAGCCACCGCGCCCAGCCCATTTTTACTAATCATATGCCCATTTTGTCAGGAGATTTGTTATCTTGAAAGTTTCTCTTGATAGTGATATCTTCCAATGTTATTTATTATGTATATTATTGAGTAGCCACTATGTAGTAAAACTATTGTGCCAGTAGCTCACAGTTTATGACTTTAGGCATACATGATTTTTAAATATTTAATACAGTGGAAAGATGTTTTCTTTGTGCCCCTGTTCCTCTTCCTTCTTTCTTTACCCATGGTAACTATGGTTACCAGATATTTGTGTATTCTTCTTGAGACATTCCATGCATTATCATTTCCTTATCTGAAGCACTCTGGTAGACTTTTTCCAATACTTAAAATGAAATTCTGTCATAATTATCAGAGGACATTCTCATTTTGCTTTTTACATCTTATAATGAAAAAGACGACTTAGGTATAAATCCTAGCAGGTAATTTGTATTAGTACATGTTCAGAAATGTTAGTAATCTATCATGTTAATTTTCAGGTTTATTCATTTATATTAAGTATTCCTAGTTTATAAGCCTGTATCTCAAAAGTGATTTCTTTTTCTGTTTTGTAATGAGGCATTCTTTTTTTTTTTTTTTTTTTTGAGATGGAGTCTTGCTCTGTCGCCCAGGCTAGAGGGCAGTGGCATGATCTCGGCTCACTGCACCCTCTGCCTCCTGGGTTCAAGAGATTCTCCTGCCTCAGCCTCCCAAGTAGCTGGGATTACAGGCGCCCGTCACCGTGCCCGGCTAATTTTTGTATTTTTAGTAGAGACGGGTTTCACCATCTTGGCGAGGCTGACCTCGAACTCCTGACCTTGTGATCCACCCACCTCAGCCTCCCAGAGTGCTGGGATTACAGGCGTGAGCCACCGTGCCCAGCTGGCATTCTTAATACATTTATTTAAGAGTATGTGGAGAATGACTTGTGCTTTTATGATCTATCAGCATGTTTTAAATCATACCCCTATTCCACTTATAATAACCCTATTGCAGGTTTGACAATTTAAGTCACTTCCAAACTAAACCTTTTAAAAACCTTTTCTCTTAGGATTTGGTGCTATGGAGAAATTTTTGGTAGAATATAAGAGTGCAGTGGAGAAGAAACTGGCAGAGTACAAATGTAACACCAACACAGCAATTGAACTAAAATTAGGTATGTATGCCATTTCTAAGTGATGTTATGTACATACTGTGTGTGTATATATAATCTTTCATTTTAAATTTGAAGTAAAATTTTATGTAAGAGCAGTTATTTATGCAAATGTATGGTTTTCTGCATTTATTGAACATATTCAGATTTTATTCAGTTTTGATTTATGTCATGGAAGGTGTAGATGTTTGAAAGGTGACAGAATTTTATATAAAAAGGAAAGACGGTGGGGCAAAAAGTAATAAGTATATATAGTTTTAGCCTCTTAAAAATATTTTTTACTTTTTTGCCTGTAAGAATAATAAACAATAGCAAATATTGGTGAGGATGTGGAAAAAAACACTTGTATATTGCTGGTGGGAATGTAAAGTGATATAACTATTTTGGAAAACAGTTTGGCAATTTTCTTTTCTGTCTTTTTTATTTTCTTTCCTTCCTTCTCTTCTTTCATTTCCTCCCCTCACCCCTTTTTTTTCTTTCTTTCTTTTTTAAAGAGACAAGGAAGGTCTCACTCTATCACCCAGGCTGTAGTGCCACGGCATGGTCATAGCTCACTGCTGCCTCCAACCCCTGGGCTCAGGCAGTCCTTCTGCCTCAGCCTGCCAGGTAGCTAGGAGACCACAGGTGTGCACCACCCAAGCCTGGCTAATTTTTATAAAAAATTTTTTTTTTGAGACGGAGTTTCACTCTTGTTGCCCAGGCTGGAGTGCAATGGCGTGATCCTGGCTCACTGCAACCTCCACCTCCTGGGTTCTAGTGATTCTCCTGCCTCAGCCTCCCGTGTAGCTGGGATTACAGGCATGCGCCACCACGCCCGGCTAATTTTTTGTATTTTTAGTAGAGACGGTTTCTCCATGTTGGTCAGGCTGGTCTTGAACTCCCAACCTCTGGTGATCTGCCCACCTTGGCCTCCCAAAGTGCTGGGATTACAGGCATGAGCCACCACGCCTGGCTTATAAAAATTTTTTCATAGAGATGGACCCTACGTGTCTATGTGTCCAGGCTCATCTTGAACTCTTGTCTTCAAGCAGTCCCCTGGCTTGGCCTCCCAAAGTGTTGGGATTATAACTGTGAGCCACAGCGCCCCTCCTGGTTTGACAGTTTCTTAAGAAGTTAAACATAAATGAATTATATGACCCAGGAGTTATACTGCCAGGTATCTGTCTACTCAAGAGAAATGAAAATGTATGTTCACGCAAAAACTTGTACATGAATGTTCATAGCTGCGTTATTCACAGTAGCCAAAAAAATGTAAGAAACCCAGATATATATCAGCTGGTAAATGAATAAAGTATAGTATAGCTATACCACGGAATACTATTTGACAATAAGAAGGAATGAAATTCTGATACCTATTGCAGTAAACCTTAAAAAGATTGTGCTAAGTGAAAGAAACTAAACAAAAACACCATATATTGTGTAATTCCATTTGTATGAAATGTTCAGAAAAGACACATCCATAGAGACAGAAAGTAGTGGTTGCACAGTGGAGCGCAGAGTAACTACAAATGGGCCTGACATTTCTTTTGGGAATTATGGAAATGTTTGAAAGTTAGATTGTGGCACAGCTCTGAATTTGCTAAAATTTTACACTTAGAACAAGTGAAAAATAATATATGCTCATGATTCCTGGTTGCATTACTTTCCATGCCTGAGTTTCCTCATTGTTAATAGTACTTCACAGTGGTTACAAAGATTAAATATGGAGTTAAATATCAGTAAAGTGTTTAAACTCCTTGACATGCAGAAAATACTTGGTAAGGGCTGAGTGGAGTGACTGGATGTGGTTGCTGAGATCTGCGTATTTTTTTTACATGTCCCCTCATTTTTCAATTACTTCATTCTTTGATAGTTTGATTACCTTGGAACATCCTGTCATCTGTTGTCTCTGCCCCAGCCTTGGAATCAGCCATTTCTCCAAGGATCCCTGGTTTCTTTTAGTAGGAAATGTTATTTTATTTTATTTTAGAGACAGAGTCTCACTCAGTCGCCCAGGTAGAGTGCAGTGGTGCGATCTTGGTTCACTGCAACCTCTGCCTCCCAGATTCAAGTAATTCTTGTGCCTCAGCCTCCGTAGTAGCTGGGATTACAGGCATGTGCCACCAGCCCTGGGTAATTTTTTTGTGTTTTTAGTAGAGATAGGGTTTCGCCATGTTGGTCAGTCTGTCTCAAACTGACCAAGTGATCCACCTGCCTCGGTCTCCCAAAGTGCTGGAATTACAGGCATGAGCTACTGCACCCAGCCAGGAAATGGTTTTTTATTTTGAGATGGAGTCTCACTCTTGTCACCCAGGCTGGAGTGCAATGACGCGGTCTTGGCTCACTGAAACCTCTGCCTCCTGGGTTTAAGTGATTCTGGTGCCTCAGCCTCCCAAGTAGCTGGGATTACAGGCACCCGTCACCACACCCAGCTGATTTTTGTATTTTTAGTAGAGACGGTTTCATCATGTTGGCCAGACTGGTCTCGAACTCCTGACCTCAGGTGATCTGCCCACCTTGGCCTCCCAAAGTGCTGGGATTACAGGCATGAGCCACCACCCCCAGCCACAGGAAATGATATTTTAAAGCCAAGATTCGGGTGCTAAAGCCAAGATCTAGGTGCTAGGTGAACACATTGCTGTTAGTATTGCTCTAGCATTAATGAGAGCAGGCTTAGTAGATAGAACTTTATTACTTACTGTTCAGTCCCTGCCACCTGCAAGGTGACTACAGTCTCATTTCTTTGACCAAAATTAGCTTTCTGTGTTCTAGCACTTTATATAAATGGAATTATACCATATATACTGGCTTTGTGACTGGCTTGTTTCATTAAGCATAATTTTTATGAGGTACATCATATGTTGTCTGTACCAGTAGATTATTCCCCATTTTTTTTGTTGTTGTTGTTTGAGACAGAGTCTCACGCTGTTGCTTGGGCTGGAGTGCAGTGGCATGATTGCGGCTCAATGCGATCTCCACCTTCTGGGTTCAAGCGATTCTCCTGCCTCAGCCTCTGGAGTAGCTGGGATTACAGGCGCCTGCCACCACGCCTGGCTAATTCTTTTGTATTTTTAGGAGAGACGGAGTTTCACTATGTTGGCCAGGCTGGTCTCGAACTCCTGGCTTCATGATCGCCTGCCTTGGCCTCCCAAAGTGCTGGGATTACAGGCGTGAGCCACCGTGCCCGGCAGTTCATTCCTTTTTATTGCTGAATACTGTTCTGTTGTTGGATACATCATTATTCGCCAGTTAATAGATATTTGAGTTGTTTCTAGTTTTTGGCTGTTATTGTATGAGTTTTTTTGTGGACATATGATTTTATTTTGGATAAATTCCTAGCTGTGGATTTGCTGGGTCAATAGGGTATTTGTATGTTTAACTTTATGGGATACTTGGCCAGACTGACTTCCAAAGTACTTTTATACTCACATCAACAGTGTATTAGAATTTTCGTTATTCCATATCCTCACCAACATTTTATGTTGTCAGTTTTTAAAGTTTTAGGCATTCTACTGGGTTTATAGTAGTATTTCTTTGTTAATAGTACTTCATAGTGGTTGTAAAGATTAAATAGGTTTTAATTGTCTTTTCCCTCATAACTAATGCTATTAAGGATTGTTTTTTTAATGTGGTTATCGACTATCTCCTTTTGGACTCATGTATTCACATCTTTTGCCCATTTTAAAATTAGGTTATTTGTCTTTTTGTTATTAGTTGTAGGTGTTATTTACCTACATATTCTGGATGAGTCCTTTATGCAGATTACATGTTTTGTGCACATTTTTCTCTCAGTTTGTGGTTTGCCTGTTCATATTCTCAACTTTTTTTGTATAACTGGAAGTTTTTAGTTTTAATCATGTCCAGTTTATTAATTTTAAAAATTTCTATTAGTGTTTTCTGGTTCATGCCTAATATCTTTGTCTACCCCAAGGAGATCATGAAGCTCTCCTAATGTTTTCTTCTGGAAGGTTTTTAGTTTTAGCTTATTAAAATTATGTCCATGATCCATCTCATGTTATTTTTCATGTCCAATATGAGGAAAGGGATTAAGGTTTGTTGTTCCATGTGGATATCCACTTGTTTCAGTATAATTTGTGTGAATGCCTTGGTGCGTTTTTAACAAAAAAATATTGAACTTACACGTGTGGATCTACATCTGGACTTTTCTCATTCATTGTCTGTTTTTCTGTCAATATCGTACTGTCTGGATTAGTGTAACTTTCTATTGATTCCTGGTAGTGTGAGTCCCACATCTTTATTTTTTAAAGATTGTTTCGATTATTCTTGACCTTATTTCTGTATACATTTTGGAATCAGGTGGTTAATTTCTATTTAAAAAGTTCTGACTAATCTTAAGATTACATTGAATCTAAAATTGAATGTGGGGAGAATTGCTATCTTAATAACATTGAGCCTTCCAGTATATGAACATGATGTATTTCTGTATTCTAGAAATGTTTCAGGTTTTCAGTCTTGCATGTATTTTGTTAAATTTATCTGAGTAAATCTACATCTTTTGATTTTTGATGCTCTTAAAAATGGTATACTTTTTTATTTATTTATTTTTGTATGTGTGACATGTTCTCACTTTGTCACCGAGGATGGAGTGCAGTAGCGTGATCTCCACTCACTGCAACCTCTGCCTCCGAGCTCAAGTGATCCTCTTACCACAGCTTCCCGAGTAGCTGGGACTCCGCATACACCACCATGCCTGGCTAATTTTTGTATTTTTTGTAGAGACAGGGTTTCGCCTTGTTACCCAGACTGGTCTTGAACTTCTGTGTTCGAGTGATCTGCCCACCTAGGCCTCCCAAAGTGCTATTACAGATGTGAGCCACTGTGCCTGACCTAAAAATGATATACTTTAAACATTTTCTCTTCCAATTGCTTGTTTTATGTGTGTGCATGTGCATATGCATGGACACACAATGGCACAGTTTGTGTAATTGTTTTGTATTCTGCAACCTTGCTAAATTCACTTATTATTGTAGTTTTTTGTATTCTGGGCTTTTTCTGAGAGAGTGGCTCACTCCATTGCCAAGGCTGGAGTAGAGTGGCGTGATTGTGGCTCACTATAGCCTTGACTTCCCAGGCTCAAGCGAACCTCCCACCTCAGCCTCCTGAATAGCTGGGACTATAGGTGCGTGCCACCATGCTTGGCAAAATTTTTTTTTTTTTCTAGGGACAGGGCCTCACTATATTGCCCATGCTGGTCTTGAACTCCTGGGCTCAAGCAATCCTCTTGCCTCAGCTTCCCAAAGTGCTAGGGTTGCAGACATAAGCCACCACACCCAGCTATAGGATTTTTTTTTTTAGATGTAGATTATTTCAGATTTCCTGCACACAAACATTACCTGTTAATGAAGAAAGTCACAGTTTTTCTTTGCCTTATACAGTTGTCCATTGGTATCTTCAGGGATTTGGTTCCACGATCCCCCGTGAATACCAAAATCTGCCGATGATCCGGTCCATTATACAAAATGCCATAGTGTGGCTGGGCATGGTGGCTCACATCTGTAATCTAGCACTTTGGGAGGTTGAGGCAGGCAGATTGCTTGAGCCCAGGAGTTTGAGACCAGCCTGAGCAACATGGCAGAACCCCATCTCTACAAAAAATACAAGAATTAGCCAGGCATGATGGTGTGCATCTGTAGTTGCTACTCAGGAGGCTGAGGTGGGAGGATCTGCCTGAGCCCAAGAGTTCTAGGCTGCAGTGAGCTGTGATTGTGCCACTGCACTCCAGTGTGAGTGACAGAGTGAGACCCTGTCTTGATAGATAGATAGCCATATAGCCGGGCATGGTGGCTCACGCCTGTAATACCAGCACTTTGGGAGGCTGAGGCAAGAGTTCGAGAAGACAAGCCTGGTCAACATGGTGAAATTCCGTCTCTACTAAAAATACAAAAATTAGCTGGGCGTGATGGCACACACCTGTAATCCCAGCTACTTGGGAGGCTGAGGCAGGAGAATTGCTTGAGCCCAGGAGGTGGAGGTTGCAGTGAGCCGAGATTGTGCCACTGCACTCCAGCCTGGGCGACAAAGCAAGACTGTGTCTCGGGGGGGAAAAACAGCCATATAGTACAGTCAGCTCTTTGTATCTGCAGATTCTGTGTTTGAGGATTCAGCCAATCTCATGTTGATCCGTAATTGGTTGAATCAGTGGATGTGGAACCTGCATATGTGGAGAGCCACTTGTGTTTCATTTTCTTGCCTTACTGCACTGGCCAGAACCTCTATTACAATGTCAAATGGAAGTGATAGAGTAGACATCCTTGCCTTATTCCCAATTGAAGAAGGAAAATTTTGAGCCTTTCACCATTCACTATGATGTTAGCTGTAGGTTTTTCATATGTGCCCTTTATCAGGTTGAGGAAGTTTCCTTCTATTCCTAGTTTGGTGAGAGTTTTTATTATGAAAGTGTTACCTTCTAATGCTTTTTCTTTATCAAGATAATCATAAGATTTTTCTCCTTTAATTCTGATAATGTGGTGAATTACATTGATGAGGTTTTAAGTGTTAAATTAGCCTTGCATGCCAGTATATTATCCTTTTTCTGCTTTGCTAGATTTGACTTGGCAATGTTTTGTTAAGACTCTTTGTTCATGACAGGTAATGGTTTCTTTTTTCATACGTCTTTGCTTGATTTTGGTATCAAGGTTTCCTGGCCTCATAAAATGAGTTGGGAACTGTTTCTTCTCTATCTTCTGGAAGAATTTGTATAAGACTGCATTATTCCTTTAAATGTTCAGTAGCATTCACCAGTGAAGTTTTATGTGCCTTGAGTTTTCTTTGTTGGAAGGTTTTTAACTATACATCTAATAAATAGATTTAATACTGTTCTGATCTTCTGTTTCTTCTTGTGTCAGTTTTGGTGATTTTTGTCTTTTAAAGTATTTCTCTATTTTATCTAACTTTCTTGGCAGAAAGTTGCTTACAGTATTCCCCTGTTACCATTTAAATGACTGTAGAGCGAGGTGCAGTGGCTCAGACATGTAATCCCAGATCTTTTGGGAGGCCAAGGCAGAAGGATCGCTTGAGCCCAAGAGTTCAAGGCCAGCCTGGGCAATATAATGAGATCTCAACAATAAAATAAAATTTAAAAATTAGCCAAGCATGGTGGCATGCACCCATAGTCCTAGCTACTTGGGAGGCTGAGGTGGGAGGATCACTTGAGCCGGAGAGGTGGAGGTTACAGTGAGCTGCGATCATCTCACTGCACTCCAGTCTGGGTGACAGAGCCAGACGCTGTCTCAAAAAATAAAATAAGTGACTCTAGAATCTATAATCCCTTCTTGGGGGTATTGGTAATTCTTTTTCTCTTTGTCTTTTAATGTCTCCTTACAAGTTTACCAATCTTACTGATCTTTTCAGCATTGCCTTTGTCTGTTATTTATCTGTTTTCTTAATCTTTATAAATTCTTTCATCTTACTTTGGGTTAATTTTTTTATTCCTTCTTTTGAGACAAGGTCTTGCTCTGTTGCCGAGGCTGGAGTGCAGTGGTGTGATCATGGCTCACTGTAGCCTCAACCTCTTGGCTCAAGTGACCCTCTCACCTCAGCCTCCTGAGTAGCTGGGACTACAGGTGTACACCACCACACTTAGCTAACTTTTGTATTTTTTTTGTAGAGATGGAGTCTCACTGTGTTGCTCAGGGTGGTCTCGAACTCCTGGGCTCAAGTGATCCTCCTGCCTTGGCCTCCCAAAGTGTTAGGATTGCAGGCATGAGCCACCTTACCTGGTCTAATTTGCTTTTTTTAAGATCTTTCTTTTTAAAGTAGATGTGTATATAATTAACTTTAAACTTTCCTTTTCTAATACTAGCATTAATGTTATAAATTTACCTCTAGTTGCAGTGAGCCAAGATCGCATCACTGCACTCCAGCCTGGGTGACGGAGCAAGACTCTGTCTCAAAAAAAAAAAGAAAAAAAAATTTACCTCTAAATATTGATATAGTTGCATCCTACCAATTCTGTTATGTTCTATTTTTATTGCTCAATTCAAAATATTTTTAAATTTCCCTTGCGACTTCTTTTTTGACCCATGAGTTATATAGAAGAGGGTTACTTAATTTCCAAATATTTGGGACTTTTCTAGCTGTCTTATTGTCACTGATTTCTGAATTAGTTCTGTCAAGGTCAGACAATATAGTCTTATTTCAGTCCTTTTAAATTCATTGAGCCTTGTTTTATAGCTTATCATGTAGGATCTGTTTGGTCAGTGTCCTAGGTGCACTGAAAAATAATTTATAGTCTGCAGTTTTATGTAGTGTTCTATAAGTGTAAATTGACTTAATAGTATTAAAGTCTTTTATATTTTTACTGACTTTCTAGCGATTAGGACAATTGAGAGAACTGTCAAAATCTCCAGCTGGAATTGTGGATTGTCTATGTCTTCAGTCATTAATTTTTGCTTGATGTATTTGCAGCTCTGATATTAGGTACATACAGATTTAGACTTCCTATGTCTTCTTGGTGAATTGACCTTACTCATTATAAAATGTTCCATCTTTATCTCTGTCCCCTCTTTAACCCATCTTGCCTCATATTTAAGTCTACTTTGTTAGCTATTAATATAGAAATGAGAATGTTTTAAACCTGTAAGAAATAACAGCATGTTTATATGCTGATGCCAATGATCTATCAGAGAAGGGGGAAATAATACAGGAGTATTTCTGGAAGTATCAGAGAAGGGGAGTATTTGTTGAGTAATATCCTTGACAATGTAAGAGGGGTAAGTATTTTATTAATCAGTGGAAGGATTAGCCTTAGATAGGAGCATGGAGAATTTCTACCATAACAAGATGAAGGAGGGTATACAGGAATTGCTGCAGTAAGTTAGAAGGTGTAGAGGAAGCATTTTGTGCAGTTTCTTTTCTGAATGCTTCTGTTTCCTAAGTGAGATAGTAAGCAAGGTCATCTGTGGAGAACGTGCTTATAGAAGAAGGCGTTGGAGATTTGAGGAAATAGTCATCTAGGTGAGTGGGAGGAGTGAGTAGACTTGAGAACTGTTACCATTGTCAGGTAGCACTAAGGGCCCACTTCAAGTTAGTTCTCATGAATGTAAAGTGAGGTCAGCCACGTCCAGATGAAAGTGTGCCACAAAGAATAGACATATAGTTAAATTTAACTAGAGTGGGTTTTTTTTTTTTTTTTTTGAGACAGAATTTTGGTCTTGTCATCCGGGCTGGAGTGCAATGGCGCGATCTCAGCTCACTGCAACCTCCGCCTCTGGAGTTCAAGTGCTTCTCCTGCCTCAGCCTCCCAAGTAGTTGGGATTACAGGCGCCCACCACCACGCCCAGTTAATTTTTGTATTTTTAGTAGAGGCGGGGTTTCGCCATGTTGGCCAGGCTGGTCTCAAACTCCTGACCTCAAGTGATCCATCTGCCTCGGCCTCCCAAAGTGCTGGGATTACAGGCGTGAGCCACCGCGCCTGGCCTAGAGTGGTTTTCTTTTTACGAGGCTGCTATGAAAAAAATTAAGGCCAAGGGGTTGAGGATGTTTAGGATGGAGTAATAACATTGATGGACCATGGAATTCTGCACTGGAAAGGGAGGAAAACGAGGATATGAAGTAGAAGAGGGACAGTGAAATTATGTTCAAATCAATTCATTGTGGCCAAGCACGGTGGCTCATGCCTGTAATCCCAGCACTTTGGGAGGCAGAGGCGGGTGGATCACCCGAGGTCAGGAGTTCGAGACCAGCCTGGCCAACATGGTGAAACCCCGTCTCTACTAAAAATACAAAAATTAGCTGGGCATGGTGGCACATGCCTATAATCTCAGCTACTTGGGAGACTGAGGCAAGAGAATCGTTTGAACCTTGGAGGCCAAGGTTGCTGTGAGCTGAGATTGTGCCATTGCACTCCAGCCTGGGCAACAAGAGCAAAACTCCATCTCAAAAAAAAAAAAAAAAAAAAAAGACAAAATTCATTTTAAGTCTTGGTGGGGGCTGAAGAATTGTTAGAATTGGGGTATGGTTGGGTGTGGTGGTTCATGCTTGTAATCCCAGCACTTTGGGAGGCCCAGGCAGGATGATCACTTTAGCCCAGGAGTTTGAGACCAGCTTGGGCAACATAGGGAGACCCCATTTCTACAAAAAATAAAATATTAGCTGGGTGTGGAGGTGCGTGCTTGTGGTCCCAGCTACTCAGGAGGCTGAGGCAGGAGGATCACCTGAGCCTGGGAGGTTGAGGTTGCAGTGAGCTGTGATTGGTTGTGCCACAACACTCCAGCCTGGGTGACAGAGCCAGACCCTGTCTCAAAAAACAAAAAACAAAACAAAAAAGAATTGGGGGTATAGGGAGTGAGGTAGGAAGATAAGTGGTGATGGTAAGATGGTACAATGTTTGAAATAGAGATTAAGGAGGTATAATTGTCAATAATGATAAATAAAGGCTAGGGCACATCATGGGAATAAGTGGCTAAGGTACAGTAAAGACAAAATTCTTGGGGAGGAATCAAGGAACTGCAAGGCTGGATTGGAAGATTCATTTTCATTAATTTTGAAGTTACCAAGATTTAAGTCAGATGTAGTGTTGGAAAGTGCAACAGTGAGCCTGGAGCTAAATTATTCAAAGAATGAGGGAGAGAGGTGGAGCATGAACTTTAAAGTGGTTTATTCTTAGTGTGTGGGGAGAGAGACATTAGTCTGAAACCAGCAATGAGGAGCAAGGAGGATACCTTGTTCTAGCAGTATGAAGACAGAGAAAACAACCACTACCTGAGAGGTCTGTAAGACAGGAGCATCCTTAGGGGAGAGCCATGTGTGCCAAAGAACTGTTAGCGCAAGATAGGAGAGCATTTGATAAAGAGGTTGGGGATATGGAGAATTTTGGTGGTAACTGACCTCTAAGTTTCACAGTGGTCACAATGAGTTGGGAAGGGGTGGGAAATTAGATGAGTATTTTTATACTACTGTATAATACAGGGATGAGAATCCCAGTGATAAGGGAATTTTTAAGAATTGGACTGCTGTTAATGGGAATAAAGAGTGTGATGGGATTAATTATGGCATCTCTAGGGAATATTTAATGTTGAGATACCTCATTTTGCAGATTGTTTGTGCTGATGGGAATGTTGCCAGCACACTGGGGCCACTCTTGTGTTTTAAAATTATATAATTAAGCTTGTTTTTCAATTTAGCATGGGTAGGAAAAGATGTATCGGGCAATATGCTAAGATTTCAGTTATTTAAAGAACACAGGATTATGAATAAACTTAGATGTAGTCCAGAATACAATTAGATACTATACCCCGTGGGGGCCAGAATCCATTTATGTCTGCATTATGAGCACCTGTTGATAGATCATATATATTAAATGTGTTAAATACTTAAGTATTTATTTATTTATTTGAGATAGGGTCTGGCTCTGTTGCCCAGGCTGGAGTGCAGTGGTGTGATCTCGGCTCATTGCAACCTCTGCCTCCCAGGCTCAAGTGATCCTTCCACCTCAGCCTCCTGAGTAGCTGGGACTACAGATGTGTGCCACCACGCCCAGTGAATTTTTGTATTTTTTGTAGAGATGGGGTTTTGCCGTGTTGCCCAAGCTGGTCTTGAACTCTTATGTATTTATTAAACAAGCTTTAAAAATTGATTAAAATAATGTGCCTTGGTGATTTCTTAATTTTACTTTTGGTTAATAAGACATGTAGACTATATCTTCTTTCATGCATCTTGCCTCTCCAAAACTACTGAAGTGATTCTAAGAACTAGGAAGTATATGAACTTATTGCCATACATGGTGGTTTGTGCCTATAAAAAGGTGGTGCCACTGACAGGGACACAAAGATTGGAGGGGAGAGCTGGCTCTGGTGGTACTGTTGCTGGTGATAGTTGAAGCCAGGAAAAAAGATGAGCTCTGAAAGGAACACACTGTGAAAGAAGGGCAGACCAAGGACCAAGTCTTGGAAAATGCCTATATCTAAGGGAGTGGCAGCAAAAGAAACCAGGTTAAGTCAGAAAAACAAGGAGGTATAGTATATAAGTGAGAAAGGAAGAATAATATTTCGGGTAGAAAAAGAGTTTAATAACATCTACTGTTATGGAGTTCAAGGAGAGTGAAGAAAAGCAGAACAGCACTAATTGTACAATAAAGTCATCAGTAACTCTGAAATAGAAGTAGCATGATGGTTAATTATAGTAATGGAGCTGTAGGAAAAAGGGTGGCTGAGGGAGGAGGATCACTTGAAGCCAGGAGTTTGAGGCCAGCCTAAGCAACATAGCGAGACCTTGTCTCTTAAAAAAAATCAAACAATTAGCCAAGTGTGTGGTACACACTTATAGTCTCAGCTACTTGGGAGGCTTGAGCACAGGAGATCAAGGCTGCAGTTAGCTGGGATTGTACACTGCACTGCAGCCTGGGCAACAGAGCAAGACCCCATCTATCTATCTGTCTGTCTACTGATTCTCTCTCTCTCTCTCTCTCTCTCTCTCTCTCTCTCTCTCTCTCTCTCTCTCTCTCTCTCTCTTTAAATGAACTGTAAGAGTAGAAACAATAGGGCAGGGCAGGCATGGTGGCTCACACTTATAATCCCAGCACTTTGGGAGGCCAAGGTAGGAGGATTGCTTAAGGCTAGAGGAGTTCAAAACCAGTCTGGGCAACATAGCAAGACTCTGTCTCTACAAAAGAAAGAAAGAAGCAACAGTAAATATATTCAAAAGGAAGAATCATTGCAGGCCCTATGTTCTATATAGCAGCAGTCCCCAACTTTTTTGGCACCAGGGACCAGTTTAGTGGAAGACAATTTTTCTTCAGACCAGGGAGGGAGGTTTGCGGGGAATGGTTTTGGGATGATTCAAGCGCATTACATTCATTGTACACTTTTTCTATTTACATTGTAATTATAATGAAATTATTATACACCTCACTGTGGAATCAGTGGAAACCCTGAGCTTGTTTTCCTGCAACTAGACAGTTCCATCTGGGGGTGATGGATACAGTGACACCTGAAGTGTATTGCTTATGTCCAGTCTACTCTGTAATCTCGTTTTGGTTGCTGTCATTGCAGAAAACCCTGCCTCACAAGGATAAGATGTTGAGAATGGAAGCAGGCTTTTCAGTACTTTTCTGGCAATCTCAGGATGTTCTGCCTTGATTTTAATCCAGAACATAAGGAGATTTGAAGTTGTCTGAAACATATTTTTTTTTTTTGAGACAGGGTCTTGCTCTATTGTCCACACTACAGTGCAGTGGTGCAGTCTCAGCTCACTGCAACCTCCACTTCCTGGATTCAAGTGATTCTCGTGCCTCAGCCTCCCAAGTAGCTGGGACTATGGGTGTATACCACCAAACCCCACTAATTTTTGTAATTTTAGTAGAGACGGGGTTTCGCCATGTTGCTCAGGCTGGTCTTGAACCCCTGGACTCAAGCAATTCGCCTGCCTTGGCCTCCCAAAGTGCTGGGATTATAGATGTGAGCCACCAGGCCCGGCTTCAAACACACTTTTAAGGCCACCTTCATTTGCTGTCTTAAGCAGTTGACCCTATTCCAGCACGGATAAAGTCGATTCACCTGACTTATTCAAAAATGGGTCACGGATCCATTCCTTCCCAGTTCAGGGTTCTTTTGTGGTTGGGAATTAATGCTCAAACTCTTTTGAAAGCTGAGATAGGTGATCGTGCACCAGCTGGAAGTAAGAGGACCCTGTGAGCCAGGGCCTTTCAAAATCTCTGCTAATGTTTGAAACATGTCAACAAACCCAGTGTTCGCTCGTCACCCTAATACTTCTGCTTTGGCTTTGAATGCAGCCACTTTATCTGCCAACTTGAACACAATTGTTGTTCTCCCTTGAAGTGATAGATCAAGTTTGTTAAACAGGTTGAATATGTCACAAAAATAAGCAAGTTTTGTGACCCATTCTGTGTCACTGAAATGTGCTGCCCGTGGTGACTGTTTTTCTAAAAGAAATCTCTGGAGCGGCTGTTGTAACTCAAAAACTTTAGCCAGTGATCTACTTTTAGAAAGCTATCTCACTTCTGTGTATAAGAGAAGATATGTGTGATCTGTGTCCATTTCCTCACAGAGCAATGTGAACAGGTGTGAGGTAAGGGCATATACTTTAATGTGGTTGATAATTTTAATTACGTCCTGCAAAATGTCAAGTTCAGGTGACATTTTTTAGCTAGCCAGCATTACTCAATGGATGAAATAGTGCGTAGACTCACATTTGGAAACAACTCCTTTTTTTCTTTTTTTTTTTTTTAAGACAGGGTCTCACTTTATTGCACAAGCTGACTGCTGTGGCGCAGTCATGGCTCATTGTAGCCTCAACTTCCTGAGCTCAAGCAGTTCTGCCTGGGACTACAGGCACATGCCACCACACCCAGCTAATTTTTTATTATGTGTAGAGAAAGGGTATCACTGTATTGCTCAGGCTAGTCTCAAACTCCTGGACTCAGCGATCCTCCCACCTCAGCCTCCAAAAGTGCTGGGATCACAGGCATGAACCACTGCGTCTGGCCAAGGTGACCTCTTTGACCTGAATAATGAAACCAGAAAGCTGTCCAGTCATGGCAGCCACTTCGTCCATGCATATACCAACACAAAATGACCAATTCAGTTTCCCTGATATGTAATCATTCAAAGACTTGAATAGTTCTGCAGTGTGGTATTGGTTGGCAAGAAAAGTACACATAACGTATTCTCATGCACATCCTCCTGAAAAATATATTGCACAAAAACAAGCGTTGTTGCCTTGTTGTCAACATTGGTAGACTCGTCAACCTGGATTGTGCACCATGGTGACTCAACCCTCTCTAACAATTGTGCCTCAATATCCCCTGCTATTTCATTAGTTCTTCTAGTTATGGTATGAGCCTAAGGAGGAACACGCGCCACCTTTTGAATTCGAGCCTCTCCTAAAAGTTCACGACAAATGTCCTTAGCAGCAGGCAGGATTAACTCTTCACCAGTAGTAAAGGGCTTCTTAGTTTTAGCAATTTGGTTAGCCATTAAGAATGGAGCTCTCAGTGCAGACGCATTTGATGAAGTGGTGGCCTTCAATAAATTGCTTCTGTTCTTCATGTTCATGTTTTTTTCTTTTGAAAACTCCAAAGGCTTGTCTTTTAATGCAGGGTGCTTGGTCTCGATGTAACTAAGCAGTTTTGAAGGTTTTGTGGCTTTGTTGGATAGCTGGTCACCATGTACTATACACAGAGGGCTTGGAGAATGTGAATCACCTGTTGCAGTGAACCCATAATTTAAGTAGGACTCTTGGTATTTTAAATGCAGCTTTCTTTTTGTTGGCAGTCTTAGAGTCTTCTGCTGTCTCATCATTGGGTCTTTCCCCTTTTTCAAAGAAGCTCTTCAGTGATATTTGTTTTTCACTCATTTTGACTAGGGTTAGCAAAAAGACTTACCAAAACTGTGACTGAGACAAGTGTACAGTGTGAGAAAGAGGCACAGATGGAAGTCGCAAATAAAATAATGGGTTGGCAACATGGGGACTAAAATAAATGTTGGATTCTGACTTAAAGCCTGCCACTAGATGTAGCTGTACAATGGAACTACATGAACTCACTTGCCATTATAAAGCCTGCCACCAGATGCAGCTTAGTTGTCACTTGCCACTCACTACTCACTGATAGGGTTGGTGTTTTTTTTGTTGTTGTTTTGTTTTTTTTGAGACAGAGTCTCGCTCTGTTGTCCAGGCTGGAGTGCAGTGGCGGGATCTCGGCTCACTGCAACCTCCACCTCCTGGGTTCAAGTGATTCTCCTGCCTCAGCCTCTGGAGTAGCTGTGATTTTAGGTGTGTGCCACCACAGCTGGCTAAGTTTTGTATTTTTAGTAGTGACGGGGTTTCTCCTTGTTGGCCAGGCTGGGCTGATAGGGTTTTGATATGAGTCTGCAAGCAATTGATTTATTATGGTCTCTTTGCAGTCAAACCTCTCTGCTAACGTTAATCTGTATTTGCATCCGCTCCCCAGTGCTAGTATCACTGCCTCAGCTCCACCTCAGATCATCAGGCATTAGATTCTCATAAGGAGCCGTCAACCTAGATCCCTTGCATGAGCAGTTCTCAGTAGGGTTTTTGCTCCTATGAGAGTCTAATGCCACCACTGATCTGACAGAAGGCGGCGCTCAGGCAGTAGTGCAAGCAGTGGGGGACAACTGTAAATACAGATGAAGCTTTTCCAGCTTACCCATTACTCATCTCCTGCTGTGCAGCCTGGTTCCTAACAGGCCACAAACCGATACATGGTGTTTGGGGGCCCCTCCTATAGAGCAATAAGGTGCCATTTAGTATTCCAGGCCCTGAGCTTCCATTTTTCTACAAAAGTGTGAGTGACATAGATTTTTTTTGTTTTTGTTTTTTGAGATGGAGTCTTGTTCTGTCACCCAGGCTGGAGTGCAGTGGCTCGATCTCGGCTTACTGCAACCTCTGCCTCCTGGGTTCAAGCAATTCTCCTAGTTCAGCCTTCTGAGTAGCTGGGATTACAGGTGCACACCACCACACCCAGCTAAGTTTTGTAATTTTAATAGAGACGGGGCTTCACCATGTTGGCCAGGCTGGTCTTGAACTCCTGACCTCAGGTGATCCACCTGCCTTGGCCTCCCAAAGTGCTGGGATTACAGGCATGAGCCACTGTGCCCAGCTGCAACATAGGTTTTTAGTGCTTATTTTGAATTGTTTCAGTTTTTTATACTGTATATTTTTTCTGAGTATTGTGGTAATACATATTTTGCAGAAAATTTGGAAAGTAGATAAAAGTATATGAAATAAAAATTATCCATAATTCATCACTCAAAATACCTACCTCTGTATTATAATTTGGAGTGTTTTCTTCTAGTATTTTTTTATTATGTATTCATTTCTATTGTTTCCCTTTTATAAAATCGAGGTTACCGTATCATGTTCTGTTCACTTAACTCTGCATTGTGAACATTTTCCTATGTTTGTCATGATAACATGTTTAATAATTATGTAAGCCATTTCATGTATTTACTGTAATTTATTTAATCATTCACCTGTGACATTTGGGTTGCTTGTTTGCTGTACTGCCATACCTGCCTTATAAAGACTTGAAAATATTTAATGTTTCTGATATCCTGGAGAAAGTTCACATTTTGTACATGTTCTCAAGTAACATATATATATGTGACATATATATGTCACACTGGTTGAACCTTAGATCCGCCAAATACCAACTTTTAGTTCCTATTTTCTGTGGACCAAATTTTATGGGAAAATATTAAAACCTCACTAATTTGGATGACAGGGGCATCAGAAGAAGGCCAATCTGAATTTTAGAAATTATTATCATAACTAGGCTTAAGACAACTTTTCTTACTCATTACTTGTTCTTTTCTCTATGTCTTTTTACCCATCACTACCAAAATGTCATATAATATACATATTAGTTTGAAAATTAATTTTTCACAATTTCTAGATTTTCCAAACATTTTCAAACATTAGAGATGTAGTAGTTGTGAATTTTTAGGTTAGTGAGTCTGGACATATTTGACTTTTTTTTTTTTTTAACTATTACAGGCATACAAAAAATACAGTGCTGGCTGGGCACGGTGGCTTTGCCTGTAATCCCAACACTTTGGGAGGCTGAGGCGGGCAGATCACCTGAGGTCAGGAGTTTGAAACCAGCCTGGCCAACATGGTGAAACCCCGTCTCTACTAAAAATACAAAAATTAGCTGGGCGCTAATTTTTGGGTGGCGGGTGCCTGTAATCCCAGCTACTTGGGAGGCTGAGGCAGGAGAATCACTTGAACCCGGGAGGCAGAGGTTGCAGTGAGCCGAGATCATGCAATTGCACTCCAGCCTGGGCGACAGAGAGAGACTCTGTCTCAAAAAAAAAAAAAAAAAAAAAAAAAAAAGGAAACTAAGCAATATCTCTGATCCCATCACTCTGCTTTTTCAAGTCTTAACATTTGGCTGCATTTGCCTAAGCCTCTTTTTTTTCTTTAAATTTTTGTTATGAAACATTTTAAACACAGAACAATTGAGAGAATAAAACAATACTCATGTATATTTAACACCTAGATTCAACAGTTAACATTTTGCCATATTTGCTTTAGTATGTGTGTATTTTTGCTGAATTATTTGACAGTAGGTATCTAAACATCATGACACTTCCCTATAGTATATCTCCTAATATATGGACATTCATATATATATATATATATATATATATATGTATCCATAATAGTGTTATCACACTTAAGAAAATTAATGGTAATTTTTTCAATACTGCGTAATTTCTGGTTTCCCTAGTTGCCATCAAAACACTTTAATAGCTTTAAAAAAAATTAGTCCAGGCATGGTGGCTCATGCCTGTAATTCCAGCACTTTGGGAGGCTGAAGTGGAGGATGGCTTGAGCCCAGAAATTGGATACGAGCCTGGGCAACAAAGACCCCCATCTGTACAAAAAATTTAAAAAATTAGTTGTTCATGGTGATTTGCGCTTGTAGTCTCAGCTACTTTAAAGGCTGAGGCGGGAAGATCTTTTGAGCCCAGGATTTCAAGGTTGCTGTGAGCTGTGATTGTGCCACTGTATTCCAGCCTGGGTGACAATGAAACCCTGTCTCAAAAAAAAAAAAAAATACTTAAACAAGGATCCAGTAAGGGATTGTGCACTGCATTTAGTTGTAATGTTTCTTAAATAATCTCTTTTAATACAGAGCAGTCCCTTTCCGTCCACATGCAACTTTTCCCCTACATGACATTGATTTATTTGGGAGAGTAAAGTCATTGCACAGATAAATGTACATTCTGGATTTGTGTATTTCCTTTTGATATTAGTTTAACTTCCTCCTCTATCCTCTGTATTTCCTGTGAATTGGAAGGTAAAAAGCTTGATTAGATTTAAGATAAAAATTTTTGGTGAGAAAACTTCATGGGTGATGCAGCATACAGTTGGTCCTTGAACAACACGACTTGAACTGTGTGGGTCCACTTACACATGGACTTTTTTTCCTACCAAATGCAGATAGAAAGTACAGTGGGACACCAGACAGAACTACAGGACTTGAGTATGATGGATTTTGGTACAGTCAGGGGTCCTAGAGCCAGTCTCTTGAGTATACTGAGGGATGACTGTACTTCATATTGCATTGAATCAGGAGGCACATAATGTTGTTCTGTCCCACAATGAATGATGCTAAGTTAGATCATTTGGAAAGGAGGTGACTACCAGATCTCTACAGTGAAAATATACCTTTTCTTCTGTAAATTAGTAATATGCTGGTGATACTTTGGCATGCAGGGAGTGACCTGGTCTGTGAGGACAGTGTTAGAAATTTTTCATCTACAGTTTATCTTCTTTTTTCCCCCTGAGACGGAGTCTCGCTCGGTCACCCAGGCTGGAGCGCAGTGGCACAATCTCAGCTCAATGCAACCTCCTCCTCCCAGGTTCAAGCGATTCTCATGCCTCAGCCTCCAGAGTAGTTGGGATTATAGGGACCTACCACCATGCCTGGCTAATTTTTGTATTTTAGTAGAGATGGCATTTCACCATATTGGTTAGGCTGGTCTTGAACTCCTGACTTCAAGTGATCTGCCTGCCTCAGCCTCCCAAAGTGCTGGGATTACAGGTGTGAGCCACCGCGCCCAGCCCTCCAATTTTTCTTTACATTCTTCAATTGCTTAAGAATTTTTTAATGAATAAAATTTTCTTCCTAAGATAAATTTTATCAGGGAACTATCTAGTATTTCAGTACTCACAACAAATACAAATAAAAATAATAAAAGGATACCCATTCCATCTTAGATTGATAGAAATTGAAGTCGAGGGTACAGAGTATCCTTGAGTACAGCAGAGTGTTCTCAAGGATGTAGGGAGCAAAGGAGTCTACAAGCTATGGGTATATAAACTGCTTGTGGGTGTATAAACTGTTACAATATTTTTATAGGGCACTTTAGCTAGCTAGCTAGCTATCTATAATTTTTTTTTTTTTTTTTTTGAGACAGTCTTTGTCGCCCAGGCTGGAGTGCAGTGGCATGATCTTGGCTCACTGCAACCTCTACCTCCTGGATTTAAGCGATTCTCCTGCCTCAGCCCTCTAAGTAGCTGGGACTACAGGCATGCGCCACCATGGCTAGCCAATTATTTATTTATTTATTTATTTTTTTGAGAGAGAGTCTCGCTCTCTTGGCCAGGCTGCAGTGCAGTGGCACGATCTCGGCTCACTGCAACCTCCGCCTCCTGGGCTCAAGTAGTTCTCCTGCCTCAGCCTCCCAAGTAGCTGGGATTACAGGTTGTGTGCCACCATGCCCGGCTAATTTTTGTATTTTTAGTAGAGATGGGGTTTCACCATGTTGGCCAGGCTGGTCTTGAACTCCTGACCTCAGGTAATCTGCCCACCTCAGCCTCCCAGAGTGTTGGGATTACAGGCATGAGCCACTGTGCCCAGCCTAATTTTTGAATTTTTAGTAGAGATGGTTTCACCATGTCAGCCAGGCTGGGCGTGAACTCCTGACCTCAGATGATCCACCTGCCTTGGCCTCCCAAAGTGCTGGGATTACAGGCATGAGCCACTGCACCTGGCCACTTTAGCAATATTTATACAAATATTTCAGTACTCTCCCCCTAGTTTTCTGCTGCCAGGAATTTCCCCTGTGTATACTTATAAAAGTACAGCAGGATGTATATAAGGATGTCATTGCAGTGTTATTTTTAATAGCAAAAAACAAACATGAGAACAACATAAATGTCATCTAGCAGTCAAAAAGAATGACTTCATCAAACTCAGGTTATTGTTATTATCAGAATGTTTCTTACAGCATTCTGTTTTCATTTGCTGTAACTTCTTACCTCAAAGTGTCTTTTTGTTTTTCCTTTACTCATTGCATTGTGCATAAACATGGAAAAATAAAAACTAAATGAGGTGCCTCTGTCATACTTAGCCTTCTGATTCTTAGAATAAGTAGGGTTTTGACGCTGAAGCACTCAAAGTAATATTTTAATTTTCTTTGTTCACTAGTCTCTTGAGAATACAGTGTAAATAAATCATATAATGGTGAAATGACACTTTTAGTAAGAAAAATGTTGGCTGTATCCTAGTTATACTGAAACTCATGAAATAGGAATACCTGTCACCTTCAATATCTTTAGTTATCTTTAATATCTCTATTTTTTTGTCCCTTGAAACAGTTCGTTTTCCTGAAGATCTTGAAAATGACATTAGAACTTTCTTTCCTGAGTATACCCATCAACTCTTTGGGGATGAGTAAGTAACTTAGTAAAATATTTGTCAAATTAGTATGGAAAAAAAAATTTTCATTCTTTTTCTTTTAGATTTAGAAATCAAATTTTATTTTCTTCTTATTTTTAATGTGGTTTATCTTAAAATATATGTTATAATGGTGTTTTTTTACATTGAGACACCAGTTATTTTAATACCTACCATTTAGTGCTGTAAATGCATTATTTAATTCTCACAGCAGTATTAATGATGGTATTATTATTTGCTGCTTTGTGCATTGATAGAATTGGATAATTGTTCATGAACATACAAATGGCTGGAGTATAGATTTTAGGCAATCTGACTCCAGAGCCCATAATCATAACTACTACTTTTTTCTGCTACCATTTTGCTAAATTACTTCTAGTAGCATGTATTCCCCTAAAGCTGTAATAGAAAGCTTAAGTTGTTATTCTATGATCAAATAAGCAGTTGAGAGAAGTTTATTTATTTATTATTTATTTATTTATTTTTGAGATAGGGTCTCGCTGTGTCACCCAGGCTGGAGTGCAGTAGTGTGATCAAAGCTCACTGCAGCCTGAACCTCCTGGGCATAAGCAGTCCTCCCACCTGAGCCTCCGAGTAGCTGGGACTACAGGCACACACCATCATGCCTGGCTTTTTTTAAAAAATTTTTTGTAGAGATTGGGTCTCCCTATGTTGCCCAGGCTGGCCTTGAACTCCTGGCCTCAAGTGATCCTCCCACCTGCGCCTCCCAAAGAGCTGGGACTACAGGCATGAACCACTGTACCTGCCCTGAAGTTTATTTTTTAGAAGGAACTTTAAATATATGTCCCAGGCCAGGCGCAGTGGCTCATGCCTGTAATCCCAACACTTTGGGAGGCTGAGGCGGGCAGATTGCCTGAGGTCAGGAGTTCCAGACCGGCCTGGCTAATATGGTGAAACCCCGTCTCTATTAAAAATACTAAAATTAGCCAGGTGTAGTGGCACACGCCTGTAGTCCTGGCTACTCGGGAGGCTGAGGCAGGAGAATCACTTCAACCTGGGAGGCAGAGGTTGCAGTGAGCCGAGATCATGCCACTGCACTCCAGCCTGTGCGACAGAGCGAGACTGTCTCAAAAAAACAAAAACAAAATAAAGATATGTCCCAGTATATTTAGCACTGTTCTTTAATTTCCTATACTTTGATTACATCATTGAAATAGTTACTTTTTTAAAAAAAACTTTTGATTTTGAAAACATTGCACATTTGCAGAAAGTTGCAAGAATAGTACAGTGATCTCTGTATATTTTTTTACCTGGATTCACCAGTTGCCATTTAGCTACATTTGCTTTAATCATTCTCTCCTTGTTGTTGAACCATTTGAGAGTAGGTTGCAGATCTATCCTGATCCTTTACACCTCATTTCTTTTCACTATGTATTTCCTAAAAATAAGATTAATAACCATGGAAGAGTTGTAAAAATTCAGGAAATTTAACATTGATACAGAGTCTCGCGTTGTTGCCCAGGCTGGAATGCAGTGGTGCTATCTCAACTCACTGCAACCTCCACTTCCTGGGTTCAGATGATTCTTCTGCCTCAGCCTCCCAACTAGCTGAGATTACAGGCGCCCGCCACCACACCCAGCTAATTTTTGTATTTTTAGTAGAGACGGGGTTTCACCATCTTGGTCAGGTTGGTCTCAATCTCCTGACCTCAAGTGATCACCCACCTTGGCCTCCTGAAGTGCTGGGATTGCAGGCGTGAGCTACCATGCCCGGCCTGATACAGTACTATCTTCTGATATACAGCTCATGTTTCAGATTTTGTCAGTTGATTTCTAGTAATTCCTTTATAGCAATTTTCTCCAATCCTGGATCCAATACAGAATCATATTGTATTTCGTTGCCATATCTCTTCATTCTTCTTTAATCTGAAACAGATCCTCAGCATTTGTTTTTTCCTAACAGACATTTTTGTAGGGTATAGGCTAATTTTGTAGAACTGTTATATTGGATTAATTTGATTGGTTTATTTGTGATTAAACTCAGATAATGCATATTTTTGCTGTGCCATTACAGAAATGGTATTGTGTCCTCAGTGTATCACATCAGGAAGTCCGTGATGTCAGTTTGTCCCTTGTTGGTTAAGTTAACTTGGGTCACTTGGTTTAGAGGTGGCTGCTAGGTTTTTCCACTATAAAGTTAGTGTTTTTTCCTTTGTAATTTATAAGTAGTTTGTAGGGAGATACTGTGAGACCGAAAATATCCTGTTTTCCTCAAGCTTTCACCCAGAAGCATCCATTAATGATTCTTGCTTGAATCAGTATTTTACTATGATGATTGTAAAATGGTAATTTTGTAACTCTTTTGTACCTTTTTCATTTATTAGTTGGGCATGCTACTATAAGAAAGAGCTCTTCTTCTTCTTCTTATTTATTTCTTTATTTATATCAAACTCAGGGATGCTTTTTTTTGTTTTTGTTTTTTGAGACAGGGTCTTGCTCTGTCACCCAGGCTGAAGTGCAGTGGTGCGATCACAGCTCACTGCAGCCTTGAATTCCCAGGCTCAAGCAGATCTTCCCACCTCAGCCTCCTGAGGAGCTGGGACTATAGGCGTGTACCACCATACCCAGCTAATTTTTAAAAATTTTTTGGCCGGGTGCAGTGGTTTAGACCTGTAATCCCAAAACTTTGGGAGGCCGAGGCGGGAGGTTTGCCTGAGCCAGGAGTTTGCGACCAGCCTGGGCAACATGGTGAAACCACGTCTCTACTAAAATACAAAATTAGCCAGGCTTGCTGGCGTATCCTGTAGTCCCAGCTACTTGGGAAGCTGAGGCAGGAGAATTGCCTGAACCTGGGAGGCAGAGGTTGCAGTGAGCTGAGATTGCGCCACTGCACTCCAGCCTGGGCAACAGAGTGAGACTCTGTCTCAAAAAAAAAAAAAAAATTTTTTTTTAAGAGATGGGGGTCTTCCTATGTTGACCAGGCTGGTCTTGAACTCCTGGGCTCAAGTGATCCTCCAAGTGCTGGGATTACAGGCGTGAACCACCGCACCTGGCTAAGGAGTCTTTTACAATTCAGTGGGCTATGTACAATCTGTTACTGCTACTAATTTTGATGCTCAAATTATCCCAGATTTGGCAAGTGGCCACCCTTTCAGACACTTTTGAGTCTTTCTGATATGTCCTTATAATTTTGGTGATACTTTACTTTCTCACACAACAAGATGTTTCCAGATTCATCTGGTACTTTCCCTGTTAGTTCTGGAGTCAGTCAGTCTCCCATGGAACCCCTGGTTTGTTGTAGTAGGAAAGGGTATTTAGACATAGTGGACATTTAAATATTTCCCTTCATGTCTTTTTTCCCCCCATGCATTATTTTAACATCATTGACATATTTCTTTAATGTGTGGGGGTTTTGGGTTTTTTTGTTTGTTTGTTTTTTGAGACGGAGTCTTGCTCTGTTGCCCAGGCTGGAATGCAGTGGCATGATCTTCTTGGCTCATTGCATCCTCTGCCGCCTCCCAGTTCAAGCGATTCTCATGCCTCAGCCTCCCGAGTAGCTGGGACTACAGGTGTGTGCCACCACACCCAGCTAATTTTTTTTTTTTGTAATTTTAGTAGAGGCGGGGTTTTGGCATATTGGCCAGGCTGGTCCCGAACTCTGGAGCTTAGACAGTCTGCCTGCCTCAGCCTCCCAAAGTCCTAGAATTACAGGCGTGAGCCACTGTACCCAGCCATATTTAATGTGTGGCTTTTTTTGTTGTTTGCTTGTTTTTTGAGATGGAGTCTCACTCTGTTGCCCAGGCTGGAATGCAGTGGTGCAATCTTGGCTCACTGCAACCTCCGCCTCTCAGGTTCAAGCGATTCTCCTGCCTCAGCTTCTCGAGTAGGTGGGACTATAGACACGTGCTATCCCACCCAGCTAATTTTTGTATTTTTAGTAGAGACGGGGTTTCACCCTGTTGGCCAGGCTGGTCTTGAACTCCTGACCTCAGGTGATCCACCTGCCTCAGCCTCCCAAAGTGCTGGCATTACAGGCGTTAGCCACTGTGCCCAGCCTTAATGTGTGTTTTGTTTTGAGACGTAGTTTCGCTCTTGTTGCCCAGGCTGGAGTGCAATGAATGGTGCGATCTCGGCTCACTGCAAGCTGCGCCTCCTGGGTTCAAGTGATGCTCCTGCCTCAGCCTCCCGAGTCGCTGGGGTTACAGGCGCCTGCCACCATGCCCAGCTAATTTTTGTTATTTTTGGTAGAGATGGGGTTTTGCCGTGTTGGCCAGGCTGGTGTCGAACTCCTAACCTCAGATGATCCACCCACCTCGGCCTCCCGAAGTGCTGGGATTACAGGCGTGAGCCACTGCACCAGGCCCTTATTGTGTTTTTAAGTCAACAAATGTCTCTTCCTGCAACGAATTTCCTGTGAATTTTTCATTATTGATGTATCAGATTAGGCATTTTATGTGCTTTCACATATTAATAATTGTATCTTATTATACATAGATTAATGCCAAAATTTCAGCCTTTCATATTTTAAATAGGTTTTACTTTATTATAAAAATAAGAATATTTTCTCTTTGGAGTTCTATCTCTAAAGAGACATTGTTTTATTCTCTACTTTTTACTACTTTAAAAAATCTGTGTAATATCTTAGTAGATAAGATCTAGTTTTACAGATAGTGCTTCTTTTTAATTTTTTGAGACGGAGTCTTGCTCTGTTGCCCAGGCTGAAGTGCAGTGGCGCAATCTCAGCTCACTGCAGTCTCCACCTCCTGGGTTCAATCTATTCTCCTGCCTCAGCCTCTTGAGTAGCTGGGATTACAGGCACCCACCACCACACCTGCCTATTTTTTTTTTTTTTTTTTTTGTAGTTTTAGTAGAAACGTGGTTTCACCATGTTGGCAGGCAGGTCTTGAACTCCTGACTTCCAGTGATCCCCCCCCGCCTCAGCATCCCAAAGTGCTGGGATTACTGGTGTGAGCCACCGTGCCCAGACCAGTTAGTGCTTCTTAATGGCATTTTGCACACTGTTTTGCGTAATATCACTGAAAGTGGGGTGCTTGTATACCACTCTTCTAAGATGGGTAGGGGACAGTAACATAATAGTGATATCCCTGAACTGTATGACCCAAGCATGATAATTGGTCTTGATCCTAGTATCATTGCCACTCCTTTCTTCTTCACATAACTTTCAGAGTTGCTGGAATGGACAGTGCTCCGTATTTTCGTAGCCTAGACAGAAATTTGGAAATGACACTGCTTCTTTCAAACACTTTTCTTTCACAATTCACTTTCTAAAAAAATCAGAATACAGCTTTATTGAGATATATACTGTGCAATTCATTTATTTAAAGTGTACAATTCAGTGGTTTTTAATGTATTCAGAGTTGTGCAAACACAGTCAATTTTGGAACATTGTCATTACTTCCATCAAAAACCCTAAAATGCATTAATAGTCACTTTACCCTGACCCGTAGTCTTAGGCAGTCACTAATTTACTTTCTGTCTCTATAGATTTACCTATTTTGGATAATTTAGAGTTCACTTTTTAGAAGACTCTTTTAAGCTGGAAAAAGGAATATTAAGGCATAAATGTGATAGCAGGGAGCAGGGGTGGAAGAATTAGCAGCAGTTCCATATCTGCCTTTTGAGTTCATAGAGCAGTTTACATGTAGTAAGGCAGGTGCTATTGCTGCAGCTCTGGATTTTGGTGATTCAGTAAGCAGTAAGTTGGAGGGACTGGTCCAAGGCTTGGTAGCTGCTTGCCTAGCCAGGTCCTAATTTAACACTACTTCTCTCATTTGAAATGCCTTCTAATACTGGTAATGGTAGCAGCAGCAGCAACAGTAGCAATAGTATTAAATGTCTGACATTTAGTGAGTACTTATACAATGTGCCAGTTTTATAAGTAGTTTACATGTATTAACTTATTTAACCCAAACAACATTCCTGACTTAGGCAACATTCCTGAGTTATTCTATTTTATAGATGAAAACTGAAGCACATTTTATTGTAGATTTTTTTTTTAAGTATAGTTTAAAATCTTGAAACTACCCATGAAGTTAAACTTGTTTATATGTAGGGTTAATACTTTTTAATGACTGCAAAAATTCATTCCATTATTGCTATTTTTTCCATTTCAGTGAAACTGCTTTTGGTTACAAGGGTCTAAAGATCCTGTTATACTATATTGCTGGTAGCCTGTCAACAATGTTCCGTGTTGAATATGCATCTAAAGTTGATGAGAACTTTGACTGTGTAGAGGTAAGAACAGAAATACTTTTTAAACTGTTTTCCAATTTAATTTATTTTAAAATAGGTTTTAGGCCAGGTGCGGTGGCTCACACCTGTAACCCCAGCAGTTTGGGGGACCAAGGGGGGCAGATCTTTTGATCTTAGGAGTTCGAGACCAGCCTGGCCAACATAGTGAGAGCCCATTTCTCAAAAAAACCACAAAAATTAGTGGGGCGTGGTGGCATGTGTCTGTAATTCCAGCTACTCAGGAGGCTGAGGTCAGAGGATGGCTTGAGCCCAGGAGGCAGAGGCTACAGTCAGCTGAGATCATGCCACTGTACTACAGCCTGGATGACAGAGCTAGACCCTGTCTCAAAAACAAAACAAACAAACAATAAACAAATAGTTTCTAAAAATTAAAGGTTTGGGCTGGGTGCAGTGGCTTGTGCCTATAATGCCAGTGCTTTTGGAGGCTGAAGTGGGAGGATCTCAAGCCCAGGAGTTGGAAACCAGCCTGGACAACATAGTGAGACCCTCAGCTACTTGGGAGGCTGAGGTGGGAGGATTACTTGAGCCCAGGAGCTTGAGGCTGCCAGTGAGCCATGATGGCACCACTGCACTCCAGCCCGGGCAACAGAACAAGACCCTGTCTCTTAAAAAAAAAAAAAAAAAAAAATTAAGGTTTGAGGGAAGAGAGAATCTGTTATATGGTAGTTTTAAAATCACATTCTCAGGCTGGGTGTGGTGGCTAACGCCTATAATCCCAGCACTTTGGGAGGCCAAGGTGGGCGGATCACCTGAGGCCAGGAGTTCAAGACCAGTCTGGCCAACATGGTGAAACCCCGTCTCTACTAAAAATACAAAAATTAGCTGGGCGTGGTGGTACACACCTGTAATCCCAGCTACTTGGGAGGCTGAGGCAGGAGAATTGCTTGAACCTGGGAGGCAGAGGTTGCAGTGAGTTGAGATCGTGCCACTGCACTGCAGCCTGGGTGACAGAGTGAAACTGTCTCAAAAAAAAATTAATTAATTAAATAAAATCATATACTCAGTCTTTAGTTATGGAGGCATTTGCCTCCCTGTCATTACAGTTAATCCTGTGATCATGATCCTGTTCTGTTTCCTGCATGGACCTTCTTCATAAAAATCTTTGCCTTTGTGATCAGAGTTTTATTTTTTTGCCAACTTTTGTTTTTTATTGTGGTTATTTCCTATAAGTCAAAGAAGATGGAGGGAAATAGCTAAATTTTCCACTTTTACCTAGTGTGGAATCTATTGAAGTTTCTCTTGCTGCATTTCTAATCCCACAAATTTTGCTAATATATTCCTTTATGGATGGAATACATGGATGATCAAGCTGATCACATTATAAAACTATTTAAAGTGAGTGTATCAAAAGGGGATAAAGGTAAAGAGAGAGATGAGGCCGGGCACAGTGGCTCATGCCTGTAATCCTATCACTTTGGGAGGCTGAGGTGGGCGGATCACCTGAGGTCAGGAGTTTGAGACCAGCCTGGCCAACATGGCGAAACCCCGTCTCTACTAAAAATACAAAAATTAGCTGGGCGCAGTGGTGCATGCCTGTAATCCCAGCTACTCGGGAGGCTAAGGCAGGAGAATTGCTTGAACCCAGGAGGTGGAGGTTGCAGTGAGCCAAGATTGCGCCATTGCACTCCAGCCTGGGTGACAAAGCAAGACTCCATCTCAAAAAAAGAGAGAGAGATGAGTATGCATCTGTGGTAGACTGAATAATGGTTCCCCCCAAAAGATATCCATGTCCTAATATCTGGAACCTGTGAATGGTGCCTCATATTGCAAAAAGCACTTCGCTGATGTAATTAAATATCTTGATATTATCCTGGAATATTTGGGTGGACCTAAATGTAATGACATGTATCCTAATGAGAGGGAGACAGAAGGAAACTTGATGACAGAAAAGGAGAAGGCAGTGTGACCACAGAGGCAGATGTGATATGGCCAGAAGCCAAAGAATGCTTACTCACTAGAAGCTGGAAGAAGAAAGGAACAGATTCCCTCCTAGAGCTTCCAGAGGGAGTGTATTACCTTGGTTACAGCCCAGTGATACTGATTTCAGAACACCTCCAGACCGTAAGAGAATAAATATTGTTTTAAGCCACCAAGTTTGTGGTAATTTATTATAGCAGCCACAGGAAACGAATACAGGTTTTCATACCAGGAAGTGGGATGCTGCTATAACCAATAACTAAAAATGTAGAAGTGTCTTTGGAAATAGGTAGAGGCTGGAAGAGTTTTGAAGGTGCATGATAGAAAAAGCATAGATTACCTTGAATGGACTGTTGGTAGAAATATGGATGTTAAAGGAAATATGGGCTGGGCGCAGTGGCTCATGCCTGTAATCCCAGCAATTTAGAAGGCCAAGGCGGGAGGATCACCTGAGGTCAGGAGTTTGAGACTAGCCTGGCCAACATGGTGAAACCCATCTCTACTAAAAATACAAAAATTAGCCGGGCGTGGTGGCAGGCACATGTAATCCCAGCAACTTGGGGGGCTGAGGCAGGAGAATCACTTGAACCTGGGAGGCAGAGGTTGCAGTGAGCCAAGATCGCGCCATTCATTGCACTCCAGCCGGGGCAACAAAAGCAAAACTCCATCTCAAAAATAAATAAATAAATAAATAAAGGAAATAATGGACTGTTGGTTAGGGCTCAGAATGAAGCTAGGAGTGTAGGAGAGAACACCTGTATCATCTTAGAGAATATATATATAGTCATAAACTTAGTTTTGGTAGAAACACGAACATGAGCTGGATGCGTTGGCTCATGCCTATAATCCCACAGCACTTTGGGAGGCCAGGGCAGGTGGATCACGAGGTCAGGAGTTTGAGTCCAGCCTGGCCAACATAGTGAAACCCCGTCTCTACTAAAAATACAAAAATTAGCCCGGCATGGTGGCGCATGCCTGTAATCCCAGCTACTCGGGAGGCTGAGGCAGGAGAATCACCGGAACCCGGTAGGCGGAGGTTGCGGTGAGCCGATATCGCGCCACTGCACTCCAGCCTGGGCAACAGAGCGAGACTCTGTCTCAAAAAAAAAGTGCCTCTGCTACTGAGGAGAATGAGGCAGGAGGATCATTTGAGGCCAGCAGGTTGAGGCTACAGTAAGGTAAGTATGATCATGCCACTGCACTCCAGCCTGGGTGACAGTGAGACCCTGTCTTTAAAAAAAAAAAAAAAAAAAAAAAGGCCAGGCTTAGTGGCTCACATTTGTAATCCTAGCACTTTGGGAGGCCAAGGTAGGTAGATCACTTGGGCTCAGGAGTTCAAGCCAGCCTGGGCAGTATGGCGAAAACCCATCTCTACACGCACACACGCACGCATGCACACACACACACGCTGACACACACACGCTGGGTGTGGTGGTGTGTGCCTGTAGTTCCAGCTACTCTGGAGCCTGAGGTGGGAGACTGGCTTAAGCACGGGAGGTGAAGGTTGCAGTGAGCCAAGATGGTGCCACTGCACTCCAGCCTGAGTGACAGAGCCAGACCTTGTCTCCAAAAAACAAACAAACAAACAAAAGAAGTGCCTCTGGTTGGTGAGGGCTTAGAATAAAATGAGGAACATGTATTTGGCAACTGGAGAAAAGGATATCCTTGTTCTATAGTGGCAGAAAGCCTAGCTGAGTTATGTCCTGCAGTTCTGTGGAAAGGAGAACTTACTGTAAGCAATGAACTTGGATGTTTAGCTGAGGAGGTTTTCATGGAAAGTATTGGAGGTGTGGCCTGATTTCTGGCTGCTTATAGTAAAGTGATGAAAGAGATAAATTGAGGGAAGAACTGTTAAACAAAAAGGATACAGGACTTGATGATTTGGGAAATTCTTAACCTATCCAGATTGTAGAAGACACTAGTTAGGATATTCATTGTCAGGAAGGTGGAAAGTGTGTTCTGGAGAGAAAGCCGTGAGTGTGACAGGATAACCTTTTGCTAGTGCTGAAGGGATTAGGCACGTGACTCATGGATCTCCTCAGTTGTCTCAGCAAAAAGCTAGGAATGTAGATCTGGGGAACATTTGTGGAGGACCCTCTTGTCTAATGGTATGAACCCTCATGACGTACACAGGCGACTCAAGGGTTTTGAGAATTAAAACTTTATAGTGCAGCTTGGATTGACAGGACAAAATGAAGGAAGGCTGTATGAACTCTCCAAATTTCACAGGCAGGAAACAGGCTAATAAAACTGCTCAGCTGCCAACATGTGCTACCTTTAAAGAAAGTGGAAGAATGACTCTGAGGGCAAAGCTTTGGGTCCAGAGGGTGGAGCTGCAGGCCACAGTTATTCTTAGGCCTTGAAACCTAATGGAGTTTGCCATGCTGAATTTTGAAATTGCTTGGTGGCAGTGGCTCCTTTCTTCCTTCCATTTCCTTTTCTGGAATGAGAGATTCTATAACTGTTGTCCTATGCCTGTCCTACCATTGTCTTTTGGAAGTGATACTGTGTTTTCTAATTTCACAGGTTCATAGATGGAGAGGAATTTTGCCCTAGGATGTATCATACCCACAGTCTTACCTATGATGAGAGGTGTGACTTTTGAACTGACTATATCTAGATGAGATTTTGGGCTTGAGTTGATATGGTAATGGTTGAGACTTTTAGGAATGTTTGGATAGAATGAATGTATTTTGCATGTGGGATGGACATGAATCTTTGAGGGCCTTAAGAAAATTATATTTTAGGCTTGTTCTGTTTCCGAGCATTCCTCATTTAAGGGCATTGAAACTTCACCATTGATTTTTTTAAAGATTAAATCCCATTTTGTCACTAAATCATATTTATAAAATTGAAAGTTAATTCTTATAGCAAAATCTCTTTTCTTTGCACTTATTAATCCAGCAAGTTTTAGTAAATTATATCTGATATACTGTTGGTAATACTGTGCTAGACACAAGTATGGAAAATGAAATATATTACTTCATACTGTATGTCATAACTTTCCTCTGCAGAAGTAGCAGTTCCTAAAGAATTAACAATTAAACCAACTTTTTCAGGGCTTTAAACTGATTTTAACTGTTGACTTTACCTCTTTTGCCACCCCTATGCCCCATCTATATTTTTGGTTAAAACCTCCTCTCATTACTGGAACTGACTTACTTGGCCCTTTTTTATTATTTAAATTTTGAGGGATTTGTTATATTTAAAGGTTTTGCCCAAAGTCATACAACTAGTAAATAATCAGTATTGTACTAGGAGATGATTATTTAGTGTTATTATGCATAATATATAATAATATCCTGATTAAAAGATGTTAGGAATATTTATGACCTGTTCTAAGAGGATCCAGGCTCTTGGGCTTACTGCTTTTTCTCTCTCTCTCCCGTTATTTTTTTTTTTAATTTTAAGTTCTGGGATACATGTGCAGAACTTGCACGTTTGTTACATAGGTATCTTTCCCCTTTTGACCATGTGTTTTTCCCCCTCATTAAAAAAAATATTTTTTTAATTTTTAATTTTTTGTAGAGACGGGGTCTTGCTATAGTGCCCAGACTGGCCTCAAACTCCTGGCCTCAAGCAATCTTCCCACCTTGGCCTTCCAAAATGCTGGGATTACAGGCACAAGCCACCGTACCCAGCCTTCTCCTGTGTTTTATGCCATGTGCTCCCAGTTTACTGCTATCATTGTAAGGAGCTTCACACTAGCAAACCCCTTATGGTTAAAAATACCATATTGGTAAGCTTGATGGAATCTGATTACTTCATACTGTATGTCATAACTTTCTTTTGCAGAAGTAGCAGTTCCTAAAACATTAACAATGCCACCAACTTTTTCAGGACTTTAAACTGACATTAACTTCTGACTTTACCTCTTTTGCCAACCCTATGCCCCATCTATAAAACTAATTGTGCGTAGCATGAAAAAGATCTGAAATAGTTTCATATAATATGAATTGTGCATAGCATGAAAAAGATCTGAAGTAGTTTCATATTCATTATTCAACTTTAGTATTAGAAATATTTTGAGTTCTATTTGGTTTTTTTGTGTGTTTTTCCCCACTTCCCAGCCATGTTTGAGATGACTGAGCTTGCCAGATAAATAATATGTAACTACATTTAATATTTGTTTTATTTTATATAGTTTGTTTCCCAGGATAACTTTTGAAATTGTGCAGATACAAAAGTGATTCTGAGTAATACTGTAGTGGTTTGATGTTTGAAAAGATGTAATCTTAGATAAACTAGCATTTAACACATTTATTAAAATAGAGTTTTTTCATAATCAAATATGTAGATTGCTAAATTCTCCAGACCCAAGCCCAGCTAGATATTCTTATTAAAAATGCAGGTGATGTTTTTCCTTGTGTGTAAACCCACTGTTGGAGGGTTTTTGTTTTTTACAGTTGCAGCTGATAGCACTGAATTGATTTCTTCCAAAGGAACTATTGATTTAGTTATAGATAAATCTTTTAAATATTTCATGCAGTGAAAATAGCTGTGTATTTGCATTGACATCTAATTGTTCCATTCTTGAAAATTAGGTTTTTCCATTTAGAAATACTGTGTTAGGAATAAGGAATCAATCTTTTATAATGTCTCTTTGTAGAGTTACTTATTTGCTTTGTGGTCAAAGATCATTTATATTGCGTATTCAAACAAAGACTTTTTTCCCCTTATTAAAAACGATTGGGTAGGGGATATGTGGGTCATGGGCTTGCTTCTTCTATCTCAGTTTGCAGTGAGTGTTCATTCCATAGTGCCTTCTGTGTTGTTGATGCCAGCGATACAGTGGCAGACAAAGTCATGGAGCTTACATTCTAGCCAAGAGGAACAGTCAGTAAACAAAATAGTAAATACACAAATTAAATTCAGGCAGTATTATGAAGATACATTTTGCTCATTTCTGAATGATAAAGGAGGAACCAGCCATGTTATAATCTGAGGGTAAAGCTTACTAAGATACAAAGGCTCTAAAAATACAGCATTTTTGGCATTTTTGTAGTCCAGAAAGATTACCAGGGTTAAATCATTGTGGTGATGGAGAGAGGGGTAGGAGATGGTTGAAGGGGATGCAAAGCTAGATCATCATATAGGATCTTGTGTTCTGTGATAGGTGTTTGCAAGAAATAAGAGTAGTTGGCATTCTTTAGAGGCATTCTTAAGTAGGTGGAGGTCATAAACAATGTGATTTATATTTTTAAAATATGATTCTGGCTGCTGTGCAGAGAACACACTGTATAGGGCAAAAGTGAAAGAAGAGACCGGAACATTGCAGTGTTAGAGGTGACACTGGACTTAGTTGTCAGAGTAAGGAACATTTTGGAGGTCTGCTGTTGAATTAGATGTGACAGATGAAGAAAAAAAACGAGAACCCCATTGCCCAAGTTCAATTATGGTACTGTTAACTGGGAAAACTATAGAAGAAATAGGTTTAAGTGGAAAAAATAAAAAAATTTTATTTTGGATGTTAGGTTTGAGTCTAATATATTAGGGCTTTGCAGATCATACTGCATAGATGGTCAGCAGCCATAACATCTGCTTAGAAGTTATTTCTTATTAGGATTATGTCATTACATTAATTTTTAATCATCCATTCTTTTACTTTTCCAAGCTGAATGCTCTAGTTGCACCTAAAATTCTTCAGTCACAATTAAGATGCCTATAAAATCTCTACTAGCCACCATCTTTAAAGGAAACATAATTCTGAATTTTACAATACAATAAACTTGATTATTCAGACACTGATGATTTTTTCATCTGGTTGTCCTTGACCTTTGCTTTTATTAACACCTCCTGCTCTGTGCTTGTAATGCCAGCTACTCTGTAGGCTGACTCAGGAGGATCATTTGAGGCCAGGAATTTGAGACCAGCCTTGGTAACATAATAAGACCCTGCCTATTAAAAAAAAAAAATGCTGAACGTGGTGGCTCAAACCTGTAATCCCAGCGCTTTGGGAGGCCGAGGTGGACAGGTCACTTGAGGTCAGGAGTTTGAGACTAGCCTGGCCAACATGGTGAAACCTCATCTCTACCAAAAGTGCAAAAATTAGCCAGGTGTTGTGGTGCGTGCTTGTGGTCCTAGCTACTCAGGAGGGTGAGGCAGGAGAATCACTTGAACTCGGGAAGTGGAGGTTGCAGGAAGCCGAGTTCGCGCCACTGTACTCCAGCTTGGGTGACAGAGCAAGACTCTGTCTCAAAAAACGAAAACAAAAGCTAGGCATGATGGCATGCTCCTGTAGTCCCAGCTACTTGGAAGGCTGAGACAGAAGGATCTCTTGAGCCCAGGAGGTCAAGGCTGCAGTAAGCTATGGTTACACTACTACATTCCAGCCTAGGTGACAGAGCAAGACTCTTGTCTTAAAAACAAAAACCTCCTGCCTTTTCTTGGGGGTAATTTCATTGCCTTTTAGTGAAGTAGTGGGTAACTAAGATTGTTGTCTTGCTAATTGCTAGCATTTCTGGGAAAAGTTTGGTACAGGAAGTTGAAATAGATGGATAAAGTTTGTATTAACTGTGAATTTCAGTTATTTTATCCTAGTGTCCCACTAATTGGATTGAATTTGAGAGGATATGAGAGCAGATTTTAAAAATTTTATGGAGTGTTTAGCCTCTTTCTAGGAAAATCCTACATACTTCCAGAAATTTCGAAAAAATCTTTGGTAGACTAGTAAAATTTCAAATTGTGATGGTGTTCTTGATAAGTAATACTTTTTATGAAATATCATAAAGAGCTTTAAAAGTATATATTGACAAGTTTATCTTGTTTAGTTCAAGTAGCAAAATACTAATGCAGTGTAAATAAACATAATATGACCTTTGTTTTTCCATTAGTGAAAAAGTTCACACTTTTAATTTCTCAACAATACATTCTGTAGTTAAAGCTTAAATATTATCAGAGAACATGAGATTGAGAACATTAAGTAGATACAGAATTTCTTTTGCTTGTTTTTTTTTTTTTTTAGCATATTTTAGGTAGTCTTAGAATTATAGTTAAGTCTATGTACCACTTTAGCCAAGTAAAGAACAACATGTTACCACCTACTTAACGTGCCTTTAATTTCAATCTCAAAAATAACTAGACAAATTTAGACAAATGGTGCTGCTTAAGATAAGATGTTAGAGAGGTTATTGGGTTTTCAAATGTGTATAAATACAAATATAAACATTAAAAAAATAGATTACTAATTATCAGGCATATCGCTTTATTCAATAATGAGGAAATGCAAAAATTGCTCCATATGAACATGTTCATGTGTAATAAAGTACAGAACACTGGAACTTGAAATGACCATAGTTAAATAGTATACAATCTAAAAATATTTCATAATGACCCACCTACCAGAATATCTAACTAGAATACTTTTGCACTTTCCTTTTTAAAAATAAATTACCAAGCGTTAGGAAACCATTTGTAAGAGATGTCTTTGTTAATTAAATATATCAGGTTGTATTCTGGTTTCTTTTTTTGAGACGGAGTCTCACCCTGTCACCCAGGCTGGAGTGCAGTGGCGCAGTCTTGGCTCACTGCAACCTCCGCCTCCCAAGTTCAAGTGATTCTCCTGCCTCAGCCTCCCAAGTAGCTGGGATTACAGGTGCACACCACCACGCCCAGCTACTTTTGTATTTTTATTAGAGACAGGGTTTCACCATGTTGGCCAGGCTGGTCTCAAACTCCTGACTTCAGGTGATGTGCGTATTTTGGCCTCCCAAAGTGCTGGGATTATAGGTGTGAGCCACCATGCCCAGCCTGGTGTCTTTTTAAAAATTTTTTTGAAATTCTAGTTCCCTGGTGTGTCTAGTCAGCTGAATTTCTTACCCTTTCTATATTTCTGTATAATTTTAGTTGAAGTTTAGAATAATGCTCTGGAATACAGGGAATTTTTCAGTGATCTTCAGAAATAGATTCTAAACTTTTAGCCACAAACATTGGAATTAAAAAGTTTCTGTTCATTTTTAACTCTATTCAATTAACAATGATTAAATGAGGTCTTGCTCTTGTGCTGATTTTATTATCTGATCAGTAATCCAATCTGAAAGACGAATATTTTAAATTAAACTAAATTATATATTTGAGAAAAGAGTACAGATCTCTAAGACATGGTAGTCAGGATTTTTTTTTTTCTTAAAGCAGAATCCATTTAATAGAGAAATGCAGACATTTTCCCTTTAGTGAAGCGAAGTTGTAAATTCTAGGTTGAAGAACTATTTGGTTTTAAGTTGTATATTTTATGTAAGTATATCAGATACATATTTATATACATAACTATTTATAAATATATATTTATATAATTATATAAAGATTCCTTGCTTTAAAATTGCCCTTTGCCCCGTAAAAATTCTTAATGTGTAAACTTACACAAAGCAAACTATTTTATTTGAAGATATTTATTACAGGAAATAGACATCCTTTGAAGGCTGAAAGCCCTTTTTCAACTTTGTTGGGCTCAAACCTTCTGGTTGCTCTGCCCGCCACCAAAAGTGCTACTTGAAACTTAGAGTTTCTGAGAAGTCTTTGAAGTAGATTTGATACAAGATATGTAAAGTGATTTGCAATGCCTTCTTGAGAAGACAGGACATAAGGAAAGTTTTTAAAAGTTAAAATTATACATGCTATGAAAGTCTTAAAGTGATTTTTAAACTGATAGATTATAAATCCCTTTTTAAAAGTAGTTTTTCTTGGCTTTTTAAAAACCTTAACTAACATACTATACTGTTTTACTCATCACTACTTTGGATTTTAATTGCTACACAACACATCTATTACAGCTATCCCTCATTATGACAGTTTCCTTGATAGCTGTTGAAATTGTACTGATACTATAAAATATGCTTACGATGGCCTCTTCATGTTAGCAATTTCAAGGAAAAATATTTATCAAATAGTACTTTAAAAATAAGCAAAAACTGTCCTATGAAATGCAGTTTATTTGATCTAGAGTGTGAATGAGTTGCAAGGACTGATGTACATATTAGAAATAAACTGTTGGGCAAAATGCTGAAGAGCTATATTTTCAATAATAGGTCTTTTTTATACCTATAAACAAATTATATATAAATGTTGGTGGTACCAGAGCATTGAAAATAAAACTTGTTTGTGATAAACGTCATCACTGGTTCTCTATCCTGAAATGTAACTGAATCATAATAAAGTGCTATTCATCTGCAGGTGCATTGCTTCTACTTAGTTAAAAGATGGTTGAAAGGATAGGAATTAGTAGCATGTTGTATTAGCCTTTTGTAGTGTATTTTGTCCTAAGCATCTTAATTTCCCTGTTTTGAATGCTAAGTAGCAAGGGTCTTGGTTTAGAACTAATACCCATCATGCATGTAAACGGTATGAAAGAGCTGCTTAGTAAGTTAACACAAAGTGTTCTTGTGTCAGTCCTTGTGGAAATAGATACAATACAAACATTACAGCTGAACTCACGGCAAACTCCATTAAGTAAAAACCTGGCCTCATTGTTCAGGAAAAAGTTTGAATAGAATACAAGCTCATTTTGTTGAATGTAATGTCAGGCTTTTAGGGACTGTATTGAGGGATAAGGTTTTGTTAAGTTGAGACCAATTCATTAAGTTTTATTGCCTGGTGAGAAGCAGCAATACTTTATTGTAAGACTTCATCAAATATTCATGGTTAAAGAGAAGTAGTAAATGTATTCAATCAAGTGGTCTTTTGGGATTTTGAAAAGGATTATGAAGTCTGCTCAGCTGATAACATTGATAGAGGTTGTTTAACAAGGGTAATTTTAATCTCCGAGTTTAGTTTTGTTGTCCAGTCTTGTCTCTTTTTTACTGTCACAAATCCAGGTCTGTAAGAATTGTGTCACATTCTAAGGATAAAAGAATGATATATCCATTCATATAATTTATGTTATTTCCTAAATATGTATATTTTTAAGTTATCATCTTAGTTTGAGTTTGGCATATGAGGGAATTGTGACCCATCTAGTTGTGAGATTGCTATTCATTTGGTCAGACTCTAGTCTCATCTCACCACTGCTGGTGATCTTTTCATGTCTTGGATAATATGATTTCTTTGACACATATAAAATAATAAGCAACCTTTTGCCTTGGCCAGTTCAGACTGTCATGAAGGGGTATAGTCAGCTGTTTCTGCATAATGGAAATGTCCATAGCATTGCCCTTATTATTGTACTTGGTATCAGGTCACCTGCCTTCTCTTATTTACTTTTATATTATGCTCATCTCAGTTTTGTGTGATGCAGTTTGTGCACAGGAAGCTCATCCTTTTCCAATTCGCTGTGTGTTTACTTCTTTAGTTTTCAACCAAAGTTTTGTAATTTGTGTTGGTTTTGTCAGTTTTAAAGAAATAAACCATATTCAACTTAAAGTCGAATTTGTTATTAATTTTTTATATCCTTTATTCTTTAGGCAGATGATGTTGAGGGCAAAATTAGACAAATCATTCCACCTGGATTTTGCACAAACACGAATGATTTCCTTTCTTTACTGGAAAAGGAAGTTGATTTCAAGCCATTCGGAACCTTACTTCATACCTACTCAGTTCTCAGTCCAACAGGAGGAGAAAACTTTACCTTTCAGATATATAAGGTAAAGATAAATCTAAATATTTATTGAGTAAAGTTCTATTTGCCTGAAACCTGTATGTAGTTTTGTTGTCAGTGATTTATTCTAACTGCAGTAAACAAGTTTTAATCAGCATTATAAACCAAGATCTATTTTGTGTGTATGTCTGTATCTATGTTCACATCTTAATCTGAGACTTCTAAACATTTTCCCACAGGATAATTTTGTGTTCTGCGGACTTTCACTTACCTTTGTGATGAGTTTCACCTGACTTTTCCTGGCTTTTTCCCTAGGCTGACATGACATGTAGAGGCTTTCGAGAATATCATGAAAGGCTTCAGACCTTTTTGATGTGGTTTATTGAAACTGCTAGCTTTATTGACGTGGATGATGAAAGATGGCACTACTTTCTAGTGTAAGTACAGTTCTAAAGCAACAGTAGACCTTATTACCTCCACAAAGCCAGCATTTTAATTGTGGCAGCCCAATTATTGGGACAGTATAATGATATTTTTCCCAGGAAAGAAAAACTATTGTTTATGAGGCTTGAGTTTTCCTTCATTATGCTTTGGGAGACCTTGAGAATAGAGCTGAATTAAATGCTGTTGTCCGTTAGGGCCCTGAATGTAGGCTTAAACAGTAAAATGAGCTTTGCCTGTGTTTTCTTTTACTTGCCACCTATTCATCTTTATAATAGGCAAGTGCACTGAAGTGATGTAAAGAGGTCTGATTTATCCAAGTTGCTGCACACCAATTAAGTGAATTGTACATTCAGAACATAGCAGGTGTACCCATTGGGCCCTCACAGAGTAGCTTGCTGACACTGAAAATTCAGTCAGAGAATGGAAAAGAAAATGGACACTGCATGGGAGCGCGACTGTAATTGACCTGCTTGGCTTTCTGTTTTATCTGCAGATTTGAGAAGTATAATAAGGATGGAGCTACGCTCTTTGCGACCGTAGGCTACATGACAGTCTATAATTACTATGTGTACCCAGACAAAACCCGGCCACGTGTAAGGTAATTGGCAGTATAACACGTGCCTTGTCTTTTATTTCAGAAGAAGGAACTGCTGAAGTTTCCAATACTTGTTATAATAGTGTTGATTTGTTTAAAAAAAAAATCACTATTATTCATGGGCTATGTACTGATTTATTTCATTGTTCCCTTTGAAACAGTGTAGAAGATTAAACTAATTTTGAGTATCTTGATAATTTTTGGGTATCTCAAAGGTGGATTGAAAAAAAGATCACACAAACTTTAAAGTGTTTGTAATACTATAGTGATCTGCAGGTTTTAAACTGGTCATGTTATGATATTTTAATTTTAAAATAATTTCTTTACTGTAGTCAGATGCTGATTTTGACTCCATTTCAAGGTCAAGGCCATGGTGCTCAACTTCTTGAAACAGTTCATAGATACTACACTGAATTTCCTACAGTTCTTGATATTACAGGTATGTAAAATTTGATTTGTTACTGAAAGAGCCTTTCTAAAAATGTCTTCTTACTGATTGATTTTATTTTTGTCAGAAATAACTATTTTAAACAGCAACATTTTCCTAGGGTGTTTAAGCCATCTAAAGATGGCTTAAGTTTATGTTTTAGAGCATAAGCCTTTGTGGGGATTGGATTACATCCCTAACTGTGAAGTGCATAATGGAACAAATTGAAGATAATGAGCTGAATATATATGGGGAAGTCTTGGTCAGGCGTAAATACGTTGAAAGTATGGTATAACTTATTTGTTCACTTTATTTGGCAAACAGTTGCATTATTTAGAGGCAGCCTGCACTTTAATTTACATGTAGGGGCAGAATATTATAAACTTTACTGAGAAAAAAAGTCAAGGTAAATACTTCTTGAATAGAATACACATTTCCTAAAGTGTGTGTTTTGTATTCCTAAAATGCATGCCTTCACAACAGTAGTAGATAAGGTGAAATGTAGGCCTATTTGTTTTGGAAATGTCTTTCAGTATGGATTAGCCATAGAAGTAGTAGTATGAATAGAATGCTTAGGAGAAGGAAAGACGACTTACTCGACTTACTCGACTTGACTCTTCAAAAGGAGAAGGCATTATTAGATGGAGTTTCAGATAATATGTTAAAGTGTGATCCACCAAAAAACAAAGTGGCCCAAGGAATATTTATGTTATTTTCTAACTTTCAAATTTGTTGTTCATAAAATTGCTGATGAAACTGAAAGTTACCTTTTTCTTTTATTGAAAAATACTTTACCAGATAGTTACATGCAAATTGGTATTAAAATTTATTAATCTTACAAGTTTGAATTTGGATACATCTTTGTTACAAACTATACTATTTAACATGCACTAAAACATTAACATGTTAAAAAATGCTATTTGGGAATTTTGTTTAAAGACACCACCTCCCACCCACCCACCCCCACCAAAAAAAAAATGGTTGTAAGACTGGCAACCACATAAATAGGCTAGTAAGCAGATTGTTTCATCCTTCTTTATATAGACTAGTAATCCAAGGTAAATAAAATTGAAGTTGCTTCAGAACAGTGAATTGATCTGTAGAATAATAAACTGGAGGGAAAGCACGTTGTCTTTAAAAGGGAGTTTCACATTTATAGAGGTGAATTATCTTTTCATCTGACTTTCCTGCTACTGTTAAATGGGTTGGAAACTCAGGAGATAAAGTAGTAGTTACTAAACTTCGTTTATAACAAAAGTTATAAATTGTTTAAGCGACAACTTCACTAGCTTAGTGACTTATAAAATTGTAGAAACATAATACAGACTATGTCACTTCTTTTAGTTGAGCAGAAAATTGTTTAGCTTCTATTAACTTATAGAGCTTAGACTTGCTGCTACATGAAGGGACATTTTTGGTGATTTTAATGTGGAGTTCACATAAGTAGTCTTTGTCTACTCTAGTGGGTAATGTGCCAGCAGGGGTTGTTTCTCTGAAGCCTCTTAACCACTTTCTTCTGTCTACTCCAACCAATAAAGTCCTTGATACTTAGCACCAATTAGCAGATAAAGAATTTTATTTCTTAAATCTCAGTGAAGAGTCATCAATAATGGTAGCCTTTATTCATTGGTGTTATTCATTAGAAACTGAAGTCTCTAAAAAGAAAAGACTAAACATGCTAAAGGACTTCTGAATTTGACAACTGGGTATTGGCCTTTATTTTCAGCATTAACATTTCTCAGCATTTAAAAATACTAAAAATGCCTTATCAGCTGTTCTCATTAAGATATTTATTTCTCCTAGATTTCCATACCCAGTCCTTAAAAAACAAAACTGCAGATTTTTCTACTCTTCTGTCATTTAGTTGCCTGTTTCTCCATTATTGTGTGTGCTTTTTTAGCTTTGTGGTTCTTTTGCAGGCTCTGGATCTCCATTTGCAATCCAGAATATTCTTTATATTGAGATGGCCTTTTGCTTACTTGACAGATAGCCAGATCTAATAATAATTGAAACTTCCTGTAGATGGCCTAAGTTATATCTTACTTCCAATGGATGGGTGTTTGTGGTATAATTGCCACCCATTTTCATTTTTTTGCACTCAATTTTAAGGTAAAATACTGGCAGACAATTCCTTGTATACCATCTGCCTTTTGAAGATACTATTCTCTTAAGATGTACAGCATTTGAATACATCTCAGTTGTATAACTTTATAAATAGAATCAATGATCTTGTTTCCTCTGGACTTCTGAAAGGAGTTGCATTTGGCAATAGAAATCGATTCTGGGCTGGAATACATATCAGTATTATTATCTATCAGTAGTACATTAAGAGCTAATTATATTTGTCCTTTAAATGTACTTTATTGTTCTGGGATGTGCCATATAGCTTTTTAGAATATTATGTGAATTGTTTATAACTTAGGTGATTGTGCTGTTATCTCATTTCCCTTCTTTAGAATATGATTTTTTATCACTAATATGTATGTTAATATGAGAAGCTTTAAAAAAACGATTGCTAGATGATGTATTACATTTAGAAAAAACTCAGTTTTTGATCCTGCATATCATTGTAGATTTAAATTCAAGAAAATTTTATCTTTAAATATGTTGCTTATCTTTGTAGCATAGAAACAAAGGAATTGAAGGATGTCATACATTATTGGGTGTCGTTTTAAGTTCATTTCAGACTGACACTTTCAAAGGGCTTAAAGATTGAGTGGTGACTTGGTTCCTTATATTAAGCTGCAAACAAAGTATTATCAGTCATAATGGCTTATTTAAAACTGGAAATTTTTTTGCATGTTTTTTGACTTATGTGAAAATTTCAGGTAAAAATGTGGCCTGAGTAGTTTTTCTCAACTGTAACTCATTTTCCTATGATACCTATTTCCTAAACTTTTCTGAGGGTATAGAAGTTACTTAAAATTTCACTCAGCTGGTTACAGTGGCTCATGCCTGTAATCCCAGAAGTTTGGGAGGCTGAGCTGGAGGGTTGCTTGAGCTCAGGGGTTCAAGACCAGCCTGGGCAACATAGGGAGATTCCCGTCTCTATAAAAAAATTTTTTTTAATTAGCTGGATATGGTGTCACACACCTATGGTCCCAGCCAGCTACTTGGGGGACTGAGATGAGAGGATCGTTAGAGCCCAGGAGGTCAAGGCTGCAGTGAGCTGTGATTGCGCTATTGCACTCCAGCTAGGGGGACAGAGCGAGACCCTGTCTTAAAAAATACACACACACTTTGGGAGGTCGAGGCAGGTGGATCACGAGGTCAAGAGATCGAGACCATCCTGGCTAGCATGGTGAAACCCTGTCTCTACTAAAAATACAAAAAATTAGCCAGGCGTGGTGGCATGCACTTGTAGTCCCAGCTACTCGGGAGGCTGAGGCAGGAGAATCACTTGAACCTGTGAGCCGAGATCCTGCCACTGCACCCCACCCTGGTGACAGAGTGAGACTCTGTCTCAAAAAAACACACAGATTCACACACACATACACACACACAGCCATACACACATACACTAAATGTTAGTTTAAATCAGTATTAGCAATGCAGTTTCTTTTTTTTTTTTTTTTTTTTTTGAGACGGAGTCTCCCTCTGTCCCCCAGGCTGGAGTGCAGTGGTGCGATCTTGGTTCACTGCAACCTCCACCTCCCGGGTTCAAGCAATTCTCCTGCCTCAGCCTCCCAAGTAGCTGGGACTACAGGTGCGTGCCACCATGCCCGGCTAATTTTTGTATTTTTAGTAGAGACGGGGTTTCACCGTATTGGCCAGGCTGGTCTCGAACTCCTAACCTTGTGACCCTCCGGCCTCGGCCTCCCCAAGTGCTGGGATTACAGGCGTGAGCCACCACCCCTGGCTGCAATGCAGTTGTTTTTCTCAACCAATTTAGAAAGAAATAGACTTGGAAAAACTGACATTGGATAAGCTTGTACCTCATCTATTAGTACTTGAAAAAATGTGGCCGGGTGCCATGGCTCACGCCTGTAATCCCAGCACTTTGGGAGGCCGAGGCGGGCAGATCACAAGGTCAGAAGATCGAGACCGTCTTGGCTAACATGGTGAAACCCTGTCTCTACTAAAAATAAAAAAATTAGCCAGGCGTGATGGTGGGCGCCCTGTAGTCCCAGCTACTTGGGACGCTGAGGCAGGAGAATGGCGTAAACCCAGAGGTGGAGCTTGAGTGAGCCAAGATCGCGCCACTGTACTCCAGCCCGGGTGACAGAGCGAGACTCCGTCTCAAAAACAAACAAACAAAAAAATGTTTTACAAGAGATACTTGCTTAAGCGTTTGTCTCTAGTAGAGTTTTTAATTAAAACAACTTTATTGAGGTATAATTTCCAGACCATAAAATTCACCCATTTTAAGTGGACAGTTCAGTGGTTTTTAGTAAACCTGCCTGTTTTAGAACATTTCCATCACTGAAAAGATCCTTCGTGTCCATTTGTAGTCAGTTTCCTTCCCTACACCCGACGTCCATTGAGGTCCTTGGTCCATTTTGAATAAATTGTTGTGTATGATGTGAGGTAAGTATCTCGTTCATCTTCTTAGATGTGGATATCCAGCTGTCCTGGCACCATTTGTTGAACGGAGTGTCTTTCCTCATTGAATTGCCTTGGTACTTTTCTTGAAAATCAGTTGACCATAAATGTGAAGGTTTATTACCGGGCTCTCTAATGATCTATACTTCTACCCTTATGCCACTACCAAGCCGTCATGATTAGGTTGATATAGCTTTATATTTTTTATTTATTTATTTATTTTTAAAACGATAATGTCAAGTTTAGCCTGTCAAATATACGAGTTGAATTTGTGGAACATATTTTGCCTGTGTGCTGCAAGGTAAACAGAAGTTTCTTGAAATGCTCGATGGTGTAGGGTTAAAAATGGGTCCTAGCCCTGGCCAGGCAGGTGGGAATGGGACAAAGAAGGGTAGAGATGGAGGCTTCAGAGTGGACTGGCTGGGCTTGGGCCATGACCCTCAAGGACACAGGAGTACAGGGTCCCAAAGGGCAGCCCCTTTCTGAGTGAGCACCCAAGCAACACACATAGGGGCTGCATGTTGCAAACTCATCAGTGCTCAACCCCTGGCACAACCACCCCCTACTGTGTAATGTACCTGACAAAACCCTACTTTCTAAGGCACTCCTCCCAGGCCCCCGACCAGAATCCTGAACTCTTAAAGATAGTTTTTAAGAAAACATTTAAACGGTTACATATGAAATGCTATCTGCATCTTTCCAGGGTTTTTCTTTTGTTTTTTTTTTTGTTTGTTTGTTTTTGTTGTTTTTTTTTTTGTTTTTTGGTGAGGTAGGGGTAGTGTTTGAGACAGGGTGTTGCTCTGTCACCCAGGCTGGAGTGCAGTGGAGTGATAGCTTATTGCGCCTTGAACTCCTGGGGTTAAGCAAAACTCCTGCCTCAGACTCCCAAGTAGCTGGAACTACAGGCACATGCCACCATACTTGGCTAATTTTTAAAGTATTTTCTGTAGAGATGGGGTCTCACTATGTTGCCCAGGCTGGTCTTGAACTCCAGGGCTCCAGCTGTCCTCCTGCCTTGGCCTCCCAAAGCAAGGGATCACAGGTGTGAGCAGCTGCACCTGGCCTGGCACACACAAAGTTATAGCAGGTGCCCTGCCCCAACCCCCACAGGCAGCAAGCTGTGGGGTCTCCTAGCTGTAAAGGGCTGCTGCAGTGGCGACAGCACAGAGTGGGCAAGGCACAGCAGAGGTTTTGGCAGCATGGCCCAGTTCCTGGTATCTGCTCCTATATAGTCCATGCTTACTTCTTCAGGGAGAGTGACTGCATTCACTTTCCTGACAAACATGAATCATCTTTTGCTTTCCTCTCTTTCTTCCTCTTGGCTTTCTCCTGCTATTTCCAGATAATCACCTGCTCTGTCTCCCCAGCTAAATGCAATTTCATGTAATGCTCTTTTGCTTTCTCTTCTCAATGTCTTCTTTTCTTGAAATCTCCTTTGGCCTGCCCAGATTCAGTTGTGTGACCTTTCTGGTTATCTATGGCATCCAATTGGGGTTCTTCATGTCAATGAGCTGTTCTGTGCCTTTGTACTTTTGTTGGCAGTCAGTCATCTTCATTCTCAGGCAATCTCTTGCCTGATGCTAGAGATTTCTTCTTTTTTGGGGTCACTTGCAGCCTCCATTCTCCACTCTCTTCTTGTGTCTTCTCTGGCCTTCTGCTTTTCAACTTGGAGCTGTGCGTTGATCTGCTTGGGGAATATTGTACTGCCTTGCTTAGCCTTTGTGGCCTCCCTTTCTCCTTCCTTTAGGCACAGAGGCTCTGGCAAAGCAGCACCTCAACCACATATGAGTCTTGAAATCAGAAGTGAAAGTCCTCCAATTTTGTTCTTTTTCAAAATTATTTTGTTTATAATGTCCCTTGTATTTCCATAAAAATTTTAGCATAAGCTCACCAATTTCTGCAAAAAAAAAAAAAAAAAAGTCTCTTGGGTCTTGATAGGGATTGAGGGATTACATTGAATCTGTCATTAATTTGAAGAAAATTCCCATCTTAACAATTCAGAATCCTCTAATCCAGGAGTCTCAAAATCCCGGGCTACGGACTGGTACTGGTCCAGAGCCTATTAGGACTGGGTCACACAGCAGGAGGTAAATGATGGGTGAACAAGCATTACTGCCTGAGCTCTACCTCCTGTCGGATCAGTGGTGGCATTAGATTCTCATAGGAGCACAAACCCTATTGTGAACTGCACATGTGAAGGATGTAGGTCGAATCTAACTAACGCCTGATGACTGATCTGAGGTAGAACAGTTTCATCTGGAAACCATCCCTTGTCTGTTCCCCTCATCCCCAGGGAAATATTGCCTCCCACAAAATCCCTGGTGCTAGATATTTTTGGCACTTCTGGTACCAAAAAGGTTGGGGATCACTGCTCTAATCCATTAATATGAAATGTCTTGGGCCAGGCTTGGTGGCTTGCACCTGTAATCCCAGCACATTGGGAGGCCACAGCAGGTGGATCGCTTGAGCCCAGGAGTTCGAGAGCAGCCTAGGCAATGTGATGAAATCCCATCTCTACAAAAATACAAAATTTAGCCAGGCATGGTGGCAAGCACCCGTGGGCCCAGCTACTCAGGAGGCTGAGGTGGGAGGATCACTGGAGCCCAGGAGGTTGAGGCTGCCGTGAGCCAAGATCGTACACTGCACTGCAGCCTGGGTGAGTGAGACCCTGTCTCAAAAAAAAAAAAAAAAAAAAAAAAAAAGAAAAAGAAAAAAAAAAAAAGAAATATCTCCATTTAGTTAGATCTTTTAAAACTTTTCTCAACAATGTTGTTTTCAGTATACAAGTTTTGCACTACTTTTGTTAACTTCATTTGTAAATATTTTTGATGCTGTTGGAAATGGGATTATTTTCTTAATTTCTTAATTTTGTTTTTGGATCATTGATTGTTTTAGTATGTAGAAATACAGTTGGGTTTTATATATTGATCTTCTATCCTGCACTCTTACTGAACTTGTTTATTAGTTGCAGTAGTTTTTTGGTTAGAATTTTCCACATACAGGATCACATTGTCTGTAAATAAAGACATTTTTACCTCTTCCTTTGCAGTCAGATGCATTTTCTTTCTTTTTCTTACCCGATTGCTTAGCTGAGAACTCCAATATAATGGTGACTGGCAATGGTGAAAGCAGACATCTATGCCTTGCTCCCAGTTTTAGAGGGAAAGCATTTGGTCTTTCACCATTGTGGATGATGTTAGCTATAGCTTTCATATGTGTTAATTATGAAATTGAGGCAGTTCCCTTCTATTTCTAGATAGTTGATTATTGAGCGTTTTTATCATGAATTGATGTTGGATTTTGTCAAACGCTTTGTTCTGCATGTATTGAATTTTTCTCATTTATTTTGTTAACATGGTATATTACATTAATTGATTTTTTTTGGATGTTAAACCAACTTTGCATTTCTGATATAAATCCCATTTAGTTCTGGTATGTAATTCATTTTATATATTGCCAGATTTGGTTTGCTAATATTTGTTGAGGACATTTGTATCTACATTCATGAGGGATATTGATTTGTAGTTTTTGTCTTAGATCCTTAGTGTCAGCATAACTCTGGCCTCATAGAATGAGTTGGAAAGTGTTTCCTCTATTTTCTTTCTTTTTTTTTTTTTTTTAATGGAGATGGAGTCTCACTCTGTTGCCCAGGCAGGAGTGCAGTGGTACCACCTTGGCTCACTGCAACCTCTGCCTCCCAGGTTCAAGCGATTCTTCTGCCTCAGCCTCCCAAGTAGCTGGGACTACAGGCCTGCGCCACCACTCATGGCTAATTTTTATATTTTTAGTAGAGATGGAGTTTCACCATGTTGGCCAGGCTGGTCTCAAACTCCTGACCTCAGGTGATCCGCCCGCCTCAGCCTTCCAAAGTGCTGGGATTACAGGTGTGAGCCACTGTGCCTGGCCTGTTTCCTCTATTTTCTAGAATAGTTTGTGAAGGATCATCGTTATGTCTTCTTCAGGTTGTTTCATGGAATTTACCAGTAAAGCCATCTGGTTGTAGACTTGTCTTTGTGGGAAGATTTTTAGTTGGTAATTAAATGTCTCTGTTATAGTCAGTTCACATAGTCATTTACTTTTTGAGTCATTTTGGTAATTTCTTTCTAAAAGCTGTCTGTTTCATCTAAATTGTCTCATTTGTTGGCATAAAGTTCATGGCATATTCCCTTTTAATTCTTGTGATTTTTGTAAAGTTGGTAGGAATATCCCTTCTTTCATGCCTGATTTTGGTAAATGTTGTTTTCTCTCTTTTTTTTCAGTCATTCTAACTAAAAGTTTGTCAATTCATCGATCATTTCAAAGAACCAACTTTGTGTTTATGTGAACTTGTCTATTTTTGTTTTCTTTTTCATTGATTTCTACTCTATTATTATTATTGCTTCTTATTACTTTGGGTTTAATTTGCCCTTCCTTATCTAGTTAAGAGTGACTCTTAGGTTATATTGATTTGATGTCTTTTTTCTTTTCTTCTTTTAGACAGAGTCTCGCTCTGTCACCCAGGCTGGAGTGCAGTGGTAGAACCTCCACCTCCCAGGCTCAAGCGATTCTCAGGCCTCAGCCTCCTGAGCAGCTGGGACTATAGGCAGGGGCCACTGCACCCAGCTCATTTTTGTATTTTTGGTAGAGACAGGGCTTCGCTTTGTTGGCCAGGCTCGTCTTGAACTCCTGGCCTCAAATGATTGGACCACTTTGACCTCCCAAAGTGGTGAGATGACAGGTGTGAGCCACCATGCCTGGCCTTTCTTTTCTAATATAGACATTTAAATACCTAAATATTTACACATAATATACATTTATATATAAATATAAGCGTTGATGTAGCTGCATCACAAGTTTTTAGAAATTGTGCTTTCATTTTCATTCAGTTCAAAATATGTTTTAATTTTCCTTGTGATTTCTTTTTTGATCCATGGATTATTTAAAAGCTTGTTGTTCAATTTCTAAATAATGTGGATTCCCATGTTTCCTTTTGTAAAGTTTGAATTTAATTCCACTGTTGTTAAAGAACATATTTTAGGGCCAGGCGCGGTGGCTCACACCTGTAATCCCAACACTTTGAGAGGCGGAGGCTGGCAGATCATCTGAGGTCAGGAGTTCGAGACCAGCCTGATCAACTTGGAGAAACCCCGTCTCTACTAAAAATACAAAATTAGCCGGGTGTGGTGGCACGTGCCTGTAATCCCAGCTACTTGAGAGGCTGAGGCAGGAGAATCGCTTGAACCTGGGAGGCAGAGGTTGCGGTGAGCCGAGATGGCACCATTGCGCTCCAGCCTGGGCAACAACTGCGAAACTCCATCTCAAAAAAAAAAAAAAAAAAAAAAAAAAAAAAAAAAAAAGCCGGGAGCGGTGGCTCACGCCTGTAATTCCAGCACTTTGGGAGGCTGAGGCAGGCGGATCATGAGGTCAGGAGATCGAGACCATCCTGGCTAACATGGTGAAACCCCATCTCTACTAAAAATACAAAAAATTAGCCAGGCGTGGTGGTGAGTGCCTGTAGTCCCAGCTACTTGGGAGGCTGAGGCAGGAGGATGGCATGAACCTGGGAGGCAGAGTTTGCGGTGAACCAAGATTGCGCCACTGCACTCCAGCCTAGGCAACAGAGCAAGACTCCGTCTCAAAAAGAAAAAAAAAACAAACATATTTTGTATGACTTTGGTCCTTTTTCATTTATTTATGTGATTTTATATTTAATTTTTGCATGACCTTCCAGTGAACCTTTTTCATTTATTCTGTTTGTCTATTTATCTACCTATGTAGCTATCTTTTGAGACAGAGTCTTGCTCTGTCGCCCACATTGGAGTGCAGTACCACAATCATGGCTCACTGCAGCCTTAACCTCCTGGCCTCAAGTGATCCTCCTGCGTCAGCCTCCCAAGTCGTTGGGCCTACAGGTGCACGCCACCACACCCAGCTAATTTTTACTTTTTTTGTAGAAACGAGGTTTTGCCATGTTGCCCAGGCTGGTCTGGAACTCCTGGGCTCAAGCAATGCCCCCATCTTGGCCTCCCAAAGTGCTAAGATCACAGGTGTGAGCCATCATGCCCAGCCCTTTTTCATTTATTGAGTTTTGTTTTCTGTTCAAGCTTAGAGGTCAGCAAACTTTTTTTTTTTTTTTTTTTAAGGATAGGTTGTATTTTATGCTTTGCAAGCTACACACAGTCTCTGTTGCATACTCTTGGTTTTTGTTGTTGTTTTGGTTGTTTTAAACAACCCTTTAGAAACCATTCTTAGTTCACATACCATACAAAAAAAGGCCACAGGCAAGATTGGCCCATGGGCCATCATAGTTTATTGATCCCTGGCTTAACATTAAGTCTTTCCTGGATGACTGTTCCTTGTACACTTGTAAAGAACATGTATTTTGCTGTTATTGAGTACAATGTTCTGTAAATATCAGTTGGGCCAAGTTGATTGATAGTGCCGTTCAGGCCTTCTATATCTTTGCCATTTTTCTGTCTAATTGTTCTATCGATTATTGAGAGTGTAGTATTGAAATTTCAGACTTTTTATTGTATTGTCTATTTCTCCCTTTAATTCTGTCAGTATTTTCTTCATGTATTTTGGGACTCTGTTGTTAGTTGTGCATTTGTTTATAATTGTAATATCTTCCTGATGAATAAACTTTTTTATCATTATAAAATGTGCCCCTTTTTTGTCTTAAACTCTTTTTTTAAAAAAAAAAAAATAGAGACAGGGTTTTGCCATATTGCCCAGGCTGGTTTCAAACTCCGGAGCTCAAGCGATCTACCTGCCTTGGCCTCCCAAAGTGTTGGAATTACAGGCATGAGCCACTGCACCTGGCCTTACACTCTATTTTGCCTGATATTAATATAGCCACTCTAGCTTGCATACTGTTTGCTTGGTATATCTTTTTTCTTTTTTTTTTTTTTTTTGAGACAAAGTCTCACTCTGTCACTCAGACTGGAGTGCAGTGGCACAATCTTGGCTCACTACAACTTCTGCCTCCCGGGTTCAACCAGTTCTCCTCCCTTGGCCTCCCAGGTAGCTGGAATTACAGGTGCCTACCACCACACCTGGTTAATTTTTGTATTTTTAGTAGAGATGGGTTTTCACCATGTTGGTCAGGCTGGTCTCAAACTCCTGACCTCAGGTGATGTGCCTGCCTTGGCCTCCCAAAGTGCTGTGATTAAAGAAAGGCGTGAGCCACAGCACCCAGCCTTCTTTTTTCATCATTAGACTTTGAACCTATCCATCTTGAATCTAAAATGTTTCTCTTGTGGACAGCATATAGTTGGAACTTTTAAAATTCGGTCTGACACGCTTTGTCTTTTGATTAGAATATTTTAATATACATGCATTTAATGTAATTATTACTATGCTTGGAATTATGCCCGCCATTTTGCTGTTTTCTGTATGTCTCATTTCTTTTGGTGGGGAGGGGGGACAGGGTCTCGCTCTGTCAGAGTCTGAAGTCCAGTGGCATGATCATGGCTCACTGCAGCCTCAAACTCCTGGGCCCAAGCTGTCCTCCCCTCTCAGCCTGCCAAGTAGCTAGGACTACAGTCGTATGCCACCACACTTTGGCTGATTTGTTTTATTTTTAGTGGAGACGAGGTCCTGCTATGTTGCCTAGGCTGGTCTTGAACTCTTGAGCTCAAGTGATCCTCCCGCCTTGGCCTCTCAAGGTGCTGGGATTACAGGTGTGAGCCACCACACCTAACCCTTTTTGTTATTTTGTTTCTTTTTTACTGCCTTCTTTTGTGTTAAATAATATTTTCTATTGAACCATTTCAATTCCTTTGTGGTTTTTTAAATTTTTTTTAAGTTATTTTCTTAGGCTGGTTTCAGTGACTAATGCCTATAATCCCAGTACTTTGGGAGGCCAAGGAGGAAGGATCACTTGAGGCCAGGAGTTTCAGACCAGTCTAGGCAACATAGCAAGACCCTATCTCTTTACCAAAAAAAAAAAAAAAAGAATTAGCAGAGTGTGGTGGCACACACCTGTAGTCCTAGCTACTCAATAGGATTACATTTTTTTTTTCTTTCTTTTTTTTTTTTGGAGGCAGGGTTTTACTCCTGTTGCCCAGGCTGGAGTGCAAAGGTGTGACCTGGGCTTACTGCAACCTCCGCCTCCCAAGTTCAAGCGATTCTCCTGCCTTAGCCTCCCAAGTAGCTGGGACTAAAGGTGCATGCCACCGCACCTGGCTAAATTTTTGTACATTTTGGTCCCATACTCCTGAGCTCAAGCAGTCTGCCTGCTTTGGCCTCCGAAAATGCTGGGATTACAGGCATGACCCACTGTTCCTGGCCACATCCTTATGTATTACTATAAGCCAAACACTGGTTTATAATTATTGCTTTATGTAATTGTCTTTTTTTTTTTGAGACGGAGTTTCGCTCCGTCGCCCAGGCTGGAATGCAGTGGCGCGATCTCGGCTCACTGCAAGCTCCGCCTCCCGGGTTCACGCCATTCTCCTGCCTCAGCCTCCTGAGTAGCTGGGACTACAGGCGCCTGCCACCACGCCCGGCTAATTTTTTGTATTTTTAGTAGAGGCGGGGTTTCACTGTGTTAGCCAGGATGGTCTCGATCTCCTGACCTCATGATCCGCCCGCCTCTGCCTCCCAAAGTGCTGGGATTACAGGCGTGAGCCACTGCGCCCGGCCTGTAATTGTCTTTTAAATTAGTTGAAAGAAGAAAAGAGAAAAAATAATCTAACTTTTATATATATTTTTATGAGTATTCTTAATTTCTTCATGTAGATTTCAGTGGTACTATGTTCTTTTAGCCTGAAGGAGTTCTTTAATACTTCTTTTGGGCAGGTCAGCTAGCACCAGATTTCCTCAGTCTTTGGTTTTCTGGGAATATCTTTATTTCACCTTTATTTTGAAGGATAGTTTTGCTGGATACAGAATTCTTGGTTGATAGGTTTTTTTTTCTCCTGTTGGTACTTTGAATATGTCATCCCACTGACTTCTGACCTCCTTGGTTTCTAATGAGTCATTTTTCTCTTGCTGCTTTAAAGATTTTCTGTTTCTCTCACTTTTGACAGTTTGATTATGACATGTTTGGGTGTAGATCTCTTTATGTTTTTCCTAGTTGAAGTTTGAGCTTCCTAGATGTGTTGACCAGTGTTTTTCATCAAATTTGGGAAGTTTTTGACCATTATTTCTTCAAGTATTTTTTCTGTTCCTTCCTTTCCTCTCTTATATGCTTGAACAATTTTAATATAGGGTGGTGTCAGAGTTCAGTTTATATTTTATAACACAGGGGAGAATAGGTAAGGAGAATGAGTTTAAAAAAGGTTATTAGTTGACAAAAATACTGGTGGAAGCAGATAGAAGAAATAAATGTCCTCCAGGTTTCTGGGTGGCTTGTATAACTGGATGATGCAGGTAAATTAAAGTGAGAAAAGACTGAAGAATGGGATAGGGTGACAAATTACATAACAGTCTTAGGTTTATTTTCTGTGTAGGTCTGTATTTTACTTATTTTGTTTTACTGTTGATTTCACCATTCTTAATAGATCATAATTTCATCCCAAATTGATGCAGTGACTTGATTTCAATTCTTCCTATTTTAAAGTCATAGTCAAATAGCACTTAATAACTACATGCATATGATGTGTATAATTAACTGTGGCATAGAAGCATAAAAAAGGTATTTAGTACAAATCAGTTGAATGAATGAATGTGTTTCTTGGAATCATGAGACATTACCCTGTCTCAGGCTTTTTAAAAAAATAGCTTTATTGGTATATAATTAACACATCATACAATTCATTCACTTAAAGTAGACAGTTTTAAGATGATATTTACAGCACAACCATCACCATAATCTTTCTGTTGGTCTGAGACAGTCTCACTCTGTCACCCAGGCTGGAGTGCAGTGTGTGATTGCAGCTCACTGCAACCTCTGCCTCCTGAGTTCAAGTAACTCTCATGCCTCAGACTCCTGAGTAGCTGGGATCACAGGAATGTGCCACCACACCTGGCTAATTTTTGTATTTTTAGTAGAGACGGTGTTTTGCCATGTTGGCCAGGCTGGCCTCGAACTTCTAGTCTCAAGAGATCTGTCCACCTCTGCCTCCCAAAGTGCTAGCGGCCCTAGCGAATAATCTAATTTTGGAATATTCTGTTCCCCCATAAAAGAAACCCCCAAAAGAAGTCCCTGTTAGCACTCCTTTCCTCCCCTCAACTCCTATCCCTAGGCAACCACTAATCTACTTTCTGTCTCTATAAATTTGCCTATTCTGGACATTGGAATCATGCAATATATGACTAGTTTCTTTCACATAGCATGTTTTCAAGGTGCATTCTTACAGCATGTAACAGTACTTCATTTCTTCTTATTGCCAAATAATATTCCATTGTGTGGTTATATCATTTTATTCATTGGTCAGTTGAACATTTTAGATTATTCCCACATTTTGGCTCTTATGAATAAATAATGCTACTAGGAACAGTCATGTACAAATTTTTATGTGGACCTGTGTTTTCATATCTCTTGGGCATATACCTAAGACTGGAAATTATGGGAAATCTGGTAACTATGTTTAACTTTTTGAGGAATCACCAGACTATTTTCCAAAATGGCTACACCATTTTACATTTCCACTACCAGTGTATCAGGGTTTCAGTTTCTCCACATCTTCATCAATACTTGTTACTGTGTTTTTAATTCTAGCCATCCTTGTAGGTATGAAGTGGTATATCATTGTGGTTTTGATTCACATTTCCTGTGGCTAGGGAGACTGTGCATCTTTTCATGTGTTTATTATCCACTTGTATATATCTTATTGATAAATGTCAACTTAGATCCTTTGCCCATTTTTTAGTTGGGTCTTTTTTTTTTTACCAAATTATAAGAGTTTGTACACCAATTTATATGAATCTGGATACAGGTGCTTTATTAGATACATGATTTGCAAATAGTCTCCCATTCTGTATGTTATTTTTTTCATTTTTTTACTGGTGTCATTTGAAACACAAGAGTTTTAAAATTTTTGTCACCTAGTTTATTTGTTTTTTCTTTTGTTGCTTATGCTTTGGTCTCATTATCTAAGAAACCATTGTCTAACCAAAGGTCATGAAGATTTACTCCTGTGTTTTCTTCTAAGAGTTTTGTAGTTTTACCTCTTAAATTTGGGACTGTGATCAATTTTGGTTAATTTTTATGTATGGTGTGAGGAAAGGGGATCCCACTTTATTCTTTTGATGATAGAGATCCAGTTGTCCCATCACCATTTGTTGAAAAGACTCTTCTTTCCCCCATTGAATTGTCTTTGCAACCTTCTCCAAGATTAACTGACCTAAATCTATGGTTTTATTTCTGGACTATCAGTTCAGTTCCATTCATGTGTATGTCTGTCCTTATGCTAGTGTCACATGGTCTTGATTATCATAGGTTTGAAGTAAGTTTTGAAATCAGAACGTGTTGAGTCCTTCAAGTTTTGTTCTTTTTTTATTTTTTCCCAGATGGAGTTGCTCTGTTGCCTAGGCTGGAGTGCAGTGACACAATTTTGGCTCACTGCAACCTCTGCCACCTGGGTTCAAGTGATTCTTCTGCCTTAGCCTCCCAAGTAGCTGGGATTACAGGCACCCACCACCATGCCCAGCTGATTTTTGTATTTTTAGTAGAGACGGGGTTTCACCATGTTGGCCAGGCTGGTCTCGAACTCCTGACCTCGTGATCCACCTGCCTTGGCCTCCCAAAGTGCTGGGATTACAGATGTGAGCCACCGTGCCTGGCCTGCTCTTTTTCAATATTGTTTTGGCTATTCTGGGTCCTTTGTCTTTATGAAGTTTTTCCTTTTTTTTTTTTTTTTTTTGAGACAGTCTCTGTCACCCAGGCTGGAGTGCAATAGCGCAATCTTGGCTCACTCACTACAACCTCCACCTCCAAGAGTCAAGTGATTCTCATGCTTCAGCCTCCTGAGTAGCTGGGAGGAATGTGCGTGACCACACCTGGCTAATTTGTTGTTTGTTTGTTTGTTTGTTTAGAGAAGGAGTCTCGCTCTGTCGTCCAGGCTGGAGTACAGTGGTGCGATCTCAGCTCACTGCAGCCTCCGCCTCCCAGGTTCAAGCAATTCTCCTGCCTCAATTTCCTAAGTAGCTGAGATTACAGGCATGCACCACTATGCTTGGCTAATTTTTGTATTTTTAGTAGACACAGGGTTTCACCATGTTGATCAGGCTGTTCTCGAACTCCTGACCTCAGGTGATCTGCCTGCCTTGGCCTCCCAAAGTGCTGAGATTACAGACGTGAGCCACTGCGCCCAACCTAATTTTTTATTTTTAGTAGAGATAGGACTTTGTCATGTTGGCCAGGCTGGTCTCTAACTCCTGGCCTCAAGTGATCTGCCTGCCTCAGGTCCCCCAAAGTGCTGAGATTACAGGCGTGTGCCACTGTGCCTGACCTGTTCATCCAAATTTGAATCTCTCATTTACACAGCTACTGTAATTGGAATCAAAACTAAGATGCATGTGATACCATGCCAGTTAAAAAGTTTAAATTTGAGGCTGGGCGCAGTCACTTATGCTTGTAATCCTAGCACTTTGGGAGGCTGAGGCGAGTTGATCACTTGAGCCCAGGAATTCGAGACCAGCCTGGGCAACATGGTGAAACCCTGTCTCTACAAAAAATACAAAAATTAGCCGAGTGTGGTGGCGGGAGCCTGTAGTACTAGCTACTAGGGAGGCTGAAATAGGAGGATCACCTGATCCTGGGAGGTTGAGGCTGTGGTGAGCCATGATCATGCCACTACACTCCAGCTTGAGTGACAGAGTGAGACTCTGTCTCAAAGAAAAAAAAAAGTTTAAATTTGAAATGGGTAGCTTTTGATTCACAAATATTAATACAAATGTCTTTGCAAAAGGATTGGATTTATTATTTTGACAAAGATAATAGTTTTATTTATAAGGAATAATCCTTTCATGTTGTAACTTTTGTATGTGTAATTTTTTAAATTACACATTAAAAATTTTGTATTTTTTTATGTGTAATTAATTTTGTATGTGTAATTTTTTTTAATTTGTCTTCCTAGCCTAGCATATATGTTGAGATTGCAAAAGATGAAGAAATTATATTGAGTATCAGGGAAATGTTAATATTATTCTGCTTTATTTATTTAGCGGAAGATCCATCCAAAAGCTATGTGAAATTACGAGACTTTGTGCTTGTGAAGCTTTGTCAAGATTTGCCCTGTTTTTCCCGGGAAAAATTAATGCAAGGATTCAATGAAGATATGGCGATAGAGGCACAACAGAAGTTCAAAATAAATAAGGTATTTTTATTCTGTAGGAGGAAAACAGATTTAAATTACAAACAAATTTTTGAAGTGTATACCTTAACTAAAATATTATAAAGACATTAAGAATACATGTGTGGGAACTAGCAATGGTTAACAGTACAGCTTTGAAGCCAAATTGCCTGAGTTCAAATCTAGCTCCAACACTTGCTCTGTGATTTATGGCAATTTAATTTACCTCGTGCCTCAGTTTCCTCATTAATAAAATGGGAAGATAATAGGTGTTATTGCTATATTAAGCATAACAAGCAGAGGAAAGATGGATAATAGGATCTTATTTTTACTCTTTAAAGTAGTTGTACCCCTGGAGACATTATTGGTGGGAAGAATGGTTGAAGTAAAACACGTATTTCATTTTATATACTTTTATATATTTATTTAAATTTTAAAGTGGTAAATGTCTTAAGATAGGTACAGAAAAAATAAATATGGAAGTTCAGAGAAGAAAGTTTATTACATTTATGTAAGCAAGGAAATCAGTGGTTATTTCATAGAAAGGATGGCATTTGATATAAACCTTGAAGAATGAGTAGGATTTGGATTATGAAAGTATGTGAGATGGGCTGGGAGTGGTGGCTCACGCCTGTAATCCCAGCACTTTGGGAGGCCGAGGCGGACAGATCATGAGGTCAGGACATTGACACCATCCTGGCTAACATGGTGAAACCCCACCTCTACTAAAAATACAAAAAAGCTGGTCATGGTGGCATGCGCCTGTAGTCCCAGCTACTCGGTAGGCTGAGGCAGGAGAATTGCTTGAACCTGGGGAGGCGGAGGTTGCAGTGAGCTGAGATGGTGCCACTGCACTCCAGCCTGGGCGACCGAGCGAGACTCCATCTCAAAAAAAAAAGAAATTTGTGTAGGCCGGGCGAGGTGGCTCACGCCTGTAATCCCAGCACTTTGGGTGGATCACGAGGTCAGGAGTTCGAGACCAGCCTGTCCAATATGGTGAAACCATGTCTCTACTACAAATACGAAAATTAGCTGGGCGTGGTGGCGCGTGCCTGTAATCCCAGCTACTCAGGAGGCTGAGGCAGAAGAATCGCTTAAACCTGGGAGGCGGAGGTTGCAGTGAGCCGAGATCATGCCACTACACTCCAGCCTGGGCAACAGAGAGAGACTTCATCTTAAAAAAAAAAAAAAGAAAAGAAATTTGTTTAATAGCTCAGCTTTTAAAAGAACAGGCATATGAATATATATATATATATATATATATATATATATATATTTTTTTTTTTTTTTTTTTAATGGTGCTTTCTTAAAAAAAGAATTCAAACTCCCTACCTAGAGCACAAAGAGCCCATGATAATCTGGACCCTGCCTACCTTGCTAGCTTCAGCCTGTTAGTACTTTGCCACATGCTCTGGCTACTTTGCCACATGCTCTGGCTTTACTCATCTTCTAGCCATTTCCCAACTCTGCCACATCCTTCTTCCTTCTGTATTCCTTTACATATTCTGTTCTCTTTACCTGAAATACTCCCTTTTCCTAATTGCCTGGCCAGATAGTACTCATTTTTTCAGGTTCAACTCAGGTTCCCTTCCAGGAAGTCAGAAAATATTACCTTCCCAACCTATCCATACCCCAACTCCCTGCCCAAATAAATACATAAGTGAAACAACATCAACAGAAAAACTGTGGTTCTCCTTTGGCTTCAGTGCTACCAAAAACTTCCTGATTCTTCTGATATTTCCTTGATACCATTTGTCTTTTTTTTTCCTTTTCCTTTTTTTTTTTTTTTTGAGACAGGGTCTCTTGCTCTGTCACCTGAGGTGGAGTACAGTGGTGTAATCACGGCTACGGCTCACTGCAGCCTCAACCTCCTGGGCTCAAATGACTCTCCCACCTCAGCCTCCCAAGTAGCTGGGACTGCAGGGGTACGCCACCACACCTGGCTAATTTTTGTAGAGACAGGGTTCCTACAGGCTGTTCTCAAACTGCTAGGCTCAAGCGATCTGCCCACCTTGGCCTCCCAAAGTGCTGGAACTACAGGCATGAGCCACCATGTCCAGCCCTGTCTGCTTTTTAACTGTCACTGTACTAGCAGGTTTCTGACCTTTCTCCTTTTATCACTGTATATGCTTTCCTCAGGTGACCTTAACCAGCCTTATGGTTTTAACTCTTACCTATATACTGACATTGCTTAAATCCTTGCCCTTAGACTAGAATTTTCTTCAGATTTTCTATTTTCTGCTGCCTCCCAAATCTCTCCTAGGCTGTGAAAACTCACATTTTCACATCCTTCTCTCAGTTTTTCCTCTCATATGTTTCTAGAGTCCTTGACCCCTTGGTCTTCTTGTGCTGTTCCAGTTCATGCCCTCATCGTTTTTTATGTGATGTAATAACTCAGCTTCTTGATTGGTCTCTATGCACTTCTTTTTGCTACCATTTCTTTGTAGCTGAAAGAGTGACTTATTTAAAACTCAAAATTTGTGCATATTGCTTACATTCCTATTTAAAATCTGTCATGAAGGCTGGGGCAGTGGCTTACGCCAGTAACTCTAATACTTTGGGAGGTTGAGGCAGGAGGATTGCTTGAAGCTGGGAGTTGAAGATCAGCCTGGGCAACAAAGTGAGATCCCATTTCTACAAAAAAAAAAAAAAAAAAAAATAGCCGAGTGTGGTGCATATGCCTATGGTCCCAGCTGCTCAGGAGGCTGAGGTGGGAGGATGGCTTGAGTCTAGGAGGTTGAGGCTGCAGTGAACTATGATCGTGCCACATTAAATTATCCATACCATAATCATTTGTGTTACCCACTAGACTGCTTGAGGGCAACTACTTTTATTGCCTTTCCTCTGGTTTCTAGCACAATTCCTTGCTCATGGCAGATATTAAATATATCCTGTGTTCTTTTGGGAAAGTGTCATTATTTTTACTTTGAAAATGTTCGCATTTTCTTTTGTTTCATTCTAGCAACACGCTAGAAGGGTTTATGAAATTCTTCGACTACTGGTAACTGACATGAGTGATGCCGAACAATACAGAAGCTACAGACTGGATATTAAAAGAAGACTAATTAGCCCATATAAGGTAGGACTTTCAAGAATCTTAAACACTGTATTCTTTTCACTGTTTAAAACAGAAGAAAAGCTACCAAATATCAGTATATGAGAGAGTCCAAGTCATTTTGTAAAATTAACTTTTACAAAAGTAGAAATATTCTTCCAGTAATTTATAAAAATTCTCACTCATGGCCGGGCGTGGTGGCCCACACCTGTAATCCCAGCACTCAGGGAGGCCAAGGCGGGTGGATCACCTCAGGTCAGAAGTTCAAGACCAGCCTGGCCAACGTGGTGAAACCCTGTCTCTACTAAAAATACAAACATTAGCTAGGCTTGGTGGTGGGCGCCTGTAATACAGTGACTTGGGAGGCTGAAGCAGGAGAATCGCTTGAATCCAGGAGGTGGAGGTTGCTGTGAGCCAAGATTGCACCATTGCACTCCAGCCTGGGTGACAAGAGCAAAACTCCATCTGAAAAGAAAAGAAAAGAAAAGAAAAAAAACCCGGGTGCAGTGGCTCACGCCTGTAATCCCAGCACTGTGGGAGGCCGAGGTAGGTGGATCACTTGAGGTCAGGAGTTCAAGACCACCCTGGCCAACATGGCGAAACCCCATCTCTACTAAAAATACAAAAATTAGCTGGGCATGATAACACGTGCCTGTAATCCCAGCTGTTTGAGAGGCTGAGGCACGAGAATCACTTGAACCCAAGAGGTGGAGGTTGCAGTGAGCTGAGATTGTGCCACTGCACTTCAGCCTGGGTGACAGAATGAAATTGTGTCTCAGAACAAACAAACAAACTTATCCCAAGGATAGTCTACCATGGTTAGCTTTTCTTTCATTTGTATGCATCTTTAAAAAATCTGAATGCCTAGTCTCTTCCCTAACAAATTATGTTGTTTTTCCCAAGTTTCTTGTCTTCTCAGTTGTTATATATATATATTCTCTTTTTTCTCTCTTCCCAGATAAAAGCAAAGTTATACATATATATTCTCTTTGCTTTTGCTTTCTTCTTCCTAAAAATAGCCTTTATTGCTATTTATTAATATAATCTTTGTACTTTACCATAGCCGAAACCATGTTAGTACTATTATATTTTTAAACATTCTTCTTGCCCTTTTTTCCCACTTCGTCGTCATCTTCCATATTTTCCCTCCTAGATCAAATTGGCCTTATCATTTGGACATTGTCAGGATGGATATTGTTTATGCCACCTTATGTGAATGAAAATTTGCTATCTAGGCAAGGCGTGGTGGCTCATGCCTGTAATCCCAGCACTTTGGGAGGCCGAGGTGGGCAGGTCACCAGAGCTCAGGAGTTCAAGACCAGCCTGGCCAACATGGCAAAACCTCGCCTCTACTAAAAATACAAAAATTAGTTGGGTGTGGTGGTGGGTACCTGTAATCCCAGCTACTTGGGAGGCTGAGGCAAGGGCATCACTTGAACTCGGGAGGCAGAGGTTGCAGTGAGCTGAGATCATACCACTGCAATCCAGGCTGGGCAATGGAGCAAGACTCCATCTCAAAAAAAAAAAAAAAATTTAAAAAAAAAAAAAGGCCAGGTGCGGTGGTTCACGTCTATAATCCCAGCAATTTGGGAGGCTGAGGCGGGCAGATCATCTGAGGTCAGGAGTTCGAGACCAGCCTGGCCAACATGGTGAAACCCTGTGTCTACTAAAAATACACAAATTAGCCAGGCATGGTGGGAGGTGCCTGTAATCCCAGCTTCTCCGGAGGCTGAGGCAGGAGAATTGCTTGAACCTGGGAGGCAGAGGTTGCAGTGAGCCAAGATTGCGCCATTGTACTCCAGCCTGGGTGACGAGCAAAATTCCATCTCAAAAAAGAAGAAAATTTGTCATCTAGTTGCAGCTGAGTAGTGGGATGATTGGCAGAATATTTAATTTATTCAACATATAATTATTGAGTACAGTTGCTCAATGATAAAATGTTGTTGCTGCATTTATATATACTATACCTATAGGGTTATACATCACAATAGCTGGGAACATAAGTGACCAAGTTGATTCTACATTACAATTTGAGAAAGTAAATTAACTAACTGTATCAGGTACACATAGTTTTGGTTTTCCTTTGTAAATTTAAAGAAAATTTAAGTTTTATTTGCCATGGATTCTGCTTTATAGAGCCAGTCTTGAATGCTGATGGTTCATTGGCTGACACTACTTGCTGAATCCCAACTTTTCCTTCATAGCATCTTTTTACTTTGCAGTGCAACTGTATTTCCTAATTTGTCATTGTAATTCTGTTCACATTCTGAATATAAAATTATTATTTGCCTATGACTAAATCATTTTATCTTGAATTCATACACAGATGTATGAATAGTTCCTCATAGTGTCATTTCATTGCAGTTTAATAGTTTTTCTATTTTACAGACCATCATCTGCATATAGCAGGTTTGTAATAAATTATAATGGTCTCCTCAAAAGTTATCCAAAGTAGCATTTTATTATTTGATGTTATCAATTCAGAAACATCAGAAAATGGGTAAAAATGGTATTTTCCAAAGGTTTTGACCTTTAAGTAATATTTGTTAGCTAGAAAATGTCTTAATGATGAAATTTGGGCACAGAGAGCAGTATAGATGGCAACATTTAAGAGTTATTAAGATTTTACTAAAGTAAAATAATTTATTGAATTATATATTTTAGATATTAATGTGACTTTTATATAAAATATAACAAATGAAAGATGGAAATTCTGAGTACAAATAGTAGTCACACAGCTAATGCCAAATAATGGGAACCTCTGTAGTTCATAAGTGCAAGTATTTTCTACTCTTAAAGAATGATAATTCTTTTTTATATTATTATTAAGTACCTTTACCTGTCCAGCCAGTTCACCAGTCTAAAAGGCCAGAACTGGGCCGGGTGTGGTGGCTCATGGCTGTAATCCCAGCAGTTTGGGAGGCCAAGGTGGGTGGATCACTTGGGCCCAGGAGTTCTAGAACAGTATATCCGAAACATGAAAGCTTCATATTTGCAATAATGCCACCCAACCAGGAATCCTGGAGTTATTCTTCATTCTTCCTTCCTCATATCACCCAGTATTTTCTCCCCTAAATCTGCCCTGTCCTCTCCATCTCTGCTGCTGCTGACTTGATCTAGGCTTTCATCAACTCTGGCTTGAACTACTGCAGTAGCTGCCCAGTCCTCCAGTCCCATCCTAAACATCTCTGACACAGTGTCCTGCATAAAAGTTGTTATCAGCTACCTGTTGCAAACTCCTTAGCATAGCGGTATCCTAAGTCAAACCAGGAGGGTTTAGTATGATAATGTATGTCTGGAACTTAATAAAGACTCAAATGCTATTTAATATATTTTTAAAGTATAGCAGTTTTCCATTTGTCTTTCTGAAACATTTCTAACAGTTTATGTTAAAATTAGCATGTGGCCCGTAAGTACTTCACTGGGTGGAATTTAAAATGTAATTAATTAATGACTGAATAGTAAAATGAAGAATAATAGCACTTAATCTCAGTTGTCTTTCTTCAGCTAATGTCTTCTATCTATTAAGCAAATATTTGAGTGTCTATACTGCCCAGAGTTCTTTAAAGTTTTGGAGGGGGCTGCTAGTCACATGTCTGTATTTACCATCATTGGACACAAATACCAGGTCTTCTTGTTAACTCTTTTTAGAGGGTTTGCAATTCATGGTTAACATTATGTTTAAGCTTCCTTAAAAAACAAAACAAAACAAAAAAAAAACATTGTGGGACAAGTTTGGGCGTATTCATACTATTCTTATTTTTAACATTGGAGACTTAAAATTGTAAGACTATAAGGAAATATATTTACTTTCTTCGTCTAACAAATAATTGTTTGTCACTTAGAAAAAGCAGAGAGATCTTGCTAAGATGAGAAAATGTCTCAGACCAGAAGAACTGACAAACCAGATGAACCAAATAGAAATAAGCATGCAACATGAACAGCTGGAAGAGAGTTTTCAGGAACTAGTGGAAGATTACCGGCGTGTTATTGAACGACTTGCTCAAGAGTAAAGATTATACTGCTCTGTACAGGAAGCTTGCAAATTTTCTGTACAATGTGCTGTGAAAAATCTGATGACTTTAATTTTAAAATCTTGTGACATTTTGCTTATACTAAAAGTTATCTATCTTTAGTTGAATATTTTCTTTTGGAGAGATTGTATATTTTAAAATACTGTTTAGAGTTTATGAGCATATATTGCATTTAAAGAAAGATAAAGCTTCTGAAATACTACTGCAATTGCTTCCCTTCTTAAACAGTATAATAAATGCTTAGTTGTGATATGTTAATGTGTGATGATATGATTCTTAAATACTTACAATAAACCTCATTCTTAAATACTTATCATTCCTTCCACACTTTGCTTCTAAGATTTTACATCTGACACCTTTAAAACATTTCTTTAAGGTTATCCTGGTAATTTTATTTTTTCAATATGATTTTTCTTTCTTTTTTAACTTTTAGATTCAGGGGTACATGTGGAGGTTTGTTACATAGGTAAACTAGTGTCTTGGGGGTTTCTTGTACAGATTATTTCAACACCCAGATACTAGGCCTAGTATCCAATAGTTAATTTTTCTGCTATTCTCCCAACCTCCACCTTCAAGTAGGCCCCAGTATCTGTTGTTCCCTTCTTTGTGTCCATGTGTTCTCATCATTTACTCCCACTTGTTAAGTAAGAACATACAGTATTTGGTTTTCTGTGCCTGTGTTAGTTTGCTAAGGACAATGGCTTCCAGCTCCATCCATGTCCTGGCAAAATACATGATCTTGTTCTTTTTTATGACTGCATAGTATTCTGTGGTGTGTATATACCACATTTTCTTTATCCAGTCTGTCACTGATGGACATTTAGGTTGATTCCATGTCTTTGCTATTGTGAATAGTGCTGCAGTGAATGTTTGCATGCGTGTGTCTTTATGGTAGAATGATTGATATTCCTCTGAGTATATACCTAGTAATGGAATTGCTGGGTCAAATGGTAGTTCTGTTTTTAGCTCTTTGAGGAATTGCCACACTGCTTTCCACAGTGGTTGGACTAATTTATACTTCCACCAACGGTTTATAAGTGTTCCCTTTTCTCCACTACCTTGCCGGCATCTGTTATTTTTTGACTTTAATAACAGCCATTCTGACTGGTGTAAGATGGTACCTCATTGTGGTTTTGATTTACATTTCTCTAATGATCAGTGGTATTGGGCTTTTACTCATATGCTTATTGGCTACACGTATGTCTTCTTTGAAAAGTGTCTGTTCACGTCTCTTTTTAATGGGGTTGTTTGGTTTTTTCCTTGTAGTTTAAGTTCTTACTGATTTTTCATAATAGGAAATGTTCTTAGTATAGGTTTTATTTTGTTTTAAATAAAATCCTATTAACTCTATTAACTGTTTGGGAAGGCAGGTACGAGGGAAATCAAACTAGATACAGCCTAAAAGCCAAAATTTTGGCATCAAATATTATTTGAAGATAACTTAGAAGTTAGCATAAACATTCTATAAATAAAAATAGAAGATAGAAATCAGTGTATAAAATACAATTTACACACCATTATTAAAATATATCTTGTGTAAAGTGAGACGCCCATCTGTTCGGATTTGCTGTAAGGTTACCAAGGTATTGAAATACAGCAAGAAAAAATAATGACAAACTGCTTAATATAGTCTTGTTTTTAATGAAGTAGAGTATAAATAGATTGCTGGAAACAGAATCATTCAAAGTAAAAGTTTGAGATGTTTATAATGTATGCTAGTAAACAAGGTATTATATAACAAAAACAGGATGTAAGTTGAAATTTACTTTTAAAAATCTGATTTGATGGATGCTTGGGGCAGAATCCCAAGTTGGACAGGCATTATCTCGTCCTTTGATCAATTTCCATCCGTAAAATCTGTCAGAGAAGTAACTGGTAGCCTCTGGACACAAAATAGCTGTGGCCAGCAGCATACCAACAGCACTACTGTTCCCTTAAAATGAGGGAGCTATAAAAGTTTCAAACCATCTCATCTCAGAAGCCTGTATATAGATAAAACTTGTTGACTTCTGAGAGATTATATCTGTGTACATAATTTGCTACAGATAAAATGAACTAGTTCAGTTAAAATCCTTTCTGAAATGATATGAAAGCAATTTGTCTTTCATCTAAATTGGCTAATTTTTAATTTTTTTATTGACAGTTCACAGCTGATACTTAAAGATGAGCTCTGAAGAAAGCATCAATACCATCTAAACCAATTATCTTTCAAGATTTTTTTTTTGTATAAAAACCAGAAAGAAAATGTGATGCTGATTTTCCTATTGTTTGTTTGTTTTGAGACGAAGTCTCTGCTGCCTAGGTTGGAATGCAGCTCACTGCAACCTCTGCCTCCCGAGTTCAAGTAATTCTCCTGCCTCAGCCTCCCAAGTAGCTGGGATTACAGCCCTGAGCCACCATGCCCAGCTAATTTTTGTATTTTTAGTAGAGACAGAGTTTCACCATGTTGGCCAGGCTGGTCTTGAACTTCTGACCTCAAATGATCTGCCCTCGGCCTCCCAAAGTGCTGGGATTACAGGCGTTGAGCCACTGTGCCCGGCCTCTTACTTTTTCCCTGTCCTCTATAAATTGCGTTTTCTCTACATATATTTCCTTCTGAGCATCAGGTTTTTCATCTGTGAAACTGAGGTTGTACTAGAATGATCTCTAGGCTCACTCCCTCCCTGTTCTAGGTTCTGTGTTTGTCGTTTTCATATCCTTTCTCCTTACCCTTATACTTTTATACTCAGATGTGGGTGTAGATGTGGTATATGTCTAAAATAAAACACTTTTCTAAGTCACACAAGGATATTCATAGTTTATACGTGACATAGTTTGTGTGAGAAGGGAGGGAAAAAGGACTGTGTCCCTGATTGTCTCCAAATTGCTGGGGCCCCAGTTTGTTGTACCAGAGCCTTGTCTAGGCTGAAAATCTATCAGACCTTCTGATTAACTGCCATCTTTACCTACTAGAGAAGAGCTGGCAGCAAAGCTACTAAGGCCATATTTGATAACAAGATTAGAATCATACACCTGAGAGGTCAACTGATTTAATTCCTTAAATTCTTAAGTTCTTTTTCTTAGAATTTAAAAGCCAGTTTAACTATTAAATACTGATTTAATAAAGTACTCAATACTTCCAAATAAAATTATTTTTGCATTTGTATATCTCTGTGTATATACTTGGAACATAGTAGTATATCTTTGTGCATGTATATATTTGTATCTGTGAAATAATTTCCTGGGAAATGTAGTTAACTGAGTTAAAGGATAAGAATATGTCTATGGCTCTATTACATAAACATGCCATATTTTGCAGAATCGTTAAAATACTACCCGATGTGAATGTATATACCAATTTTAACAGAATTTCAATGACGTGGGATGTTGTTTCCATAGATAAAATATCTTATTTACATTTATTTTACTGGGAAGGTTGAATTGTGTGTGCGTGTGTAAAATCTTTTCCTTGATATGAATTACCTGTTTTTTTAAAAAATGTATGTTTTGCAGTCTACACTGTCAATTTATAAATGGACAGTAAATCCAGAGGCCACACTACAAGTAACTGGCAAAGCCAGGAATATACACTAGGCTCCTGACTTCTACTCCATCTCATCTTCCATCAAGTAGGCCAGCCAAGTAAGCATGCCAGCCCACTAGGCTGTTCTAAGAGGGACTTTTAGAGGAGCAAGTATTAAGAAAAGTATTCTCGGCCATGCACGGTGGCTAATGCCTGTAATCCCAACACTTTAGGAGGCCAAGGTGGGGGACTGCTTGAGGCCAGTAGTTCAAGACCAGCCTGGGCAACATGGCAAGCCCCCGTCTACAAAAAAATTTAAAAATTAGGCTTGGTGGCCAACATAGCGAAACCCCGTCTCTACTAAAAATAAAAATAATTAGCTGGGCATGGTGGCAGGCGCCTATAATCCCAACTACTTGGGAAGCTGAGGGAGGAGAATCGCTTGAACCTGGGAGGCAGAGGTTGCAGTGAGCCGAGATTGCACCAGTGCACTCCAGCCCAGGGAACAGTGTGAGACTCCATCTCAAAACAAAACGAAAAGAAAAATTAGGCTTGGTAGTGCACACCTGTGGTGGTGCAAGCCAGGCTACTTGGGAGGCTGAGGCGGGAGGATCGCTTGAGTTTAGGAGTTCAAGGTTGCAGTTAGCTATGTTCACACCACCGTACTCCAGCCTGGGTGACAAAGCCAGACCCTGTCCTCTAAAAAAAAAAAAAAGAAAAAAAAAAAGCTGGACTTGGTGTCACATGCCTGTAGTCCCAGCTACTTAGGAGGCTGAGGCAGGAGGATAGCTTGAGCCCAGGAGTTCAAGACTAGCCTAAGCAACGTAGAGAGACCCCCATCTCTAAAAATAAGAAAAAAGTAAAAAAACACAAAAAACCTTAAGAGTCTGTTTGATAGCAATGACTGAAATTATCAATGCCTCTTGAAATATGGCCTGAAGTTACTCTTCCTCTCAACATTTAATCTTCAACTTTTCTGTGTTCCCATATGCCTTTACATTTCTATTATAAATATTTCATTCTTGTTTTATGAGGTGTGGTGGAATTATACAGTGCATTTAGTTTACTCACTGAGTTGGGCAGAGCTGTGTTTACGTATATGTGATATTTCAATAGGAAGTATGCACACGGAAATAAAAAGCAACAGGGCATGCAGTGAAAATTTCCTCACTGCATTCCTCCAGAAACAACCAGTTATCAATATCTTGTGTATCTTTCAGAGATACATGCAAAAGGGAGCATGTATGTATATATATTTTTTATATACCATATGTATATGTGATGACCTACCACGTTTTCTAACTGCTTTTTTACTTTTGGGGATTATTTGAGCTATCTTGTTTAATGGCAGCATGGTATTCCATTGTGTGGATATATCATACATTACTCTACCAGTAACATATTTATGTTGTTTCCAATATTTTCCTTTACAAACAATGCTGCAATGCCTATTGTATATGTGCTATGCATACATATACAAGTATACCAATAGATGAAAGTCCTAGAAGTCATGGACATTAGTCTAACCTCACTCTTACAGTGACTCTACTACCTTTACAACAGTTAAAATTATCACCATAAACTAAGGTTGTGGGAACTTTATAATGTCCCAATTTGAATAAACTCTATGCAAACAGGAGCATATTGGACTTATCCAACCATCTCTTTCATGGCTAGAAATTTGAATTACCTTTTTTTTTGTTGTTAGAGACAGGGTCTCACTCTGTCATCCAGGCTGGAGTGCAGTGGCATGATCTCGGCTCATTGCATCCTCAGCCCCTCCAAGTAGCTGGGACCACAGGCAAGTGCCACCAGACCTGGCTAATTTTTATATATTTTTGTTGTTGTTGGTAGAGACAGGGTTTCACCATGTTGCCCAGGCTGGTCTCAAACTCCTGAGCTCAAGCGATCCACCCACCTCAGCCTCCCAAAATGGGATTACAGGCGTGAGCCACTGTGCCTGGCCTTATCTTAAATGCACAATGATTTGAATGGTTAGGCATATGCACCTTTCTGTTTATTCCTTTAGTCTTGCTTAGCTCTTCTCAAACCTTTGCATCCTTAAGAATCACTGTATTTCCGGGTGTCTCAGCTTCAGTCCTACTGACATTTTGGGCCAGATAATTTTTTCTTGTGTGGGGCCGACCTATATATTGTGGGATGTTTAACAGCATCCCTGGCTTCTACCCACTAAGATGCCAGTAGTGCCACCCCCACCACTAGTTGTGACAACCAAATATGTCTCTAGATATGTCCTGTGGGGAGCAAAATCATCCTTCATTGAGAATCATTGTTCTATGGGATTGAATATCCATCTACTTTAAGCACTATTTTTTTAAAATTATGTAACATATACTTAGTAAAAAAAAAATCAATGCAGTCATGGGCTTTCTAAGTAAAAATTAAAAATTTAAAATCTATGAAAGTATTTGATGAGAAATAAACTGCCCTCCCACACCGCCACCCAATTCACTTCTTTACAATTACTTTTACCAGTTTCTCTTTTATCCCCCAGATTTATCAGTCTACAAATGTCCATTTCTATTACAAACACAAATATTGATATACTACATGCAGTACTCTGAGTATCTTTTCCAGTTAATGCATATCTCTACCAGTACATGTTACTTCAGTTCTAAACACCTTAATTCTAAACAACTGTATAATATTCCATAGCTCGATGTCAATGTTTGACCCAATACTGTATTAAAGGACATTTAGGTTGCTTCCTATCTTCTACTACAAGCAATGCTGCAGCAAATAGCCTTTTGTATACACCATTTTGTATATTTGGGAGTGTGTATGTAGGATAAGTAGTGATTGAATCGCTGAGTGAAAAGGTATGGACATTGTACATTTTGGTAGATTTTGCACATATTTGAGACAGAAGGAAATTTTTTTTTTTTTTTTTGAGACGGAGTCTTGCTCTGTCGCCCAGGCTGGAGTACAGTTGCACGATCTCGGCTCACTGCAAGCTCCGCCTCCTGGGTTCACGCCATTCTCCTGCCTCAGCCTCCCGAGTAGCTGGGACTACAGGTGCCCGCCACCATGCCCGGCTAATTTTTTGTATTTTTAGTAGAGACGGGGTTTCACCATGTTAGCCAGGATGGTCTCGATCTCCTGACTTCGTGATCCACCTGCCTTGGCCTCCCAAAGTGCTGGGATTACAGGCGTGAGCCACAGTGCCTGGCCAACGAAGGAAAATTTGAATATGGACACAATTGGTAAGGAATTTTGTTAATTTTCATAGTCGTGATAATGGTACTGTTATTATGTAGGACAATGTCTTTATTCCTGAGAGTCACATGCCTTAGCATTTAGGAGCAAAGAGTCATGACATTTGTAGCTTACATTCAAATGGTCCAGAAAAATATGTTTGTGTATTGGGGCATGTATGTGTGTGTGTGTGTGTGTGTGTGTGTGTATAAAGCAAATGTGACAAAGTTTGTAAAAGTGTTGAATATAGGTGGAATTAAATACAGGTGTTCTCAGTATGGTTCTTTCAGCCTGTATGACTGATTGATTGATTGACTGGCAAGGTCCTGGTCTGTCACCCAGGCTGGATTGCAGAGGTGCAATCTTGGCTCACTGCAACCTCCACCTCCTGGGCTCAAACAATCCTCCCACCTCAGCCTCCCAAATACCTGGGACCATAGGTGCACACTACAATGCCCAGCTAATTTTATATATACATATTTTTTGGGGGGTGGCAGAGGTATAAATGGAGTTTCGCCATGTTGCCTAGGCTAGTCTCGAACTCCTGGGTTCAAGCGATCAGCCTGCCTCGGCCTCCCAAAGTACTGGAATTACAGGTGTCAGCCATTCTGCCCGACCTGCTCTATCTTTTTAAGTGTTTAAAATAAAAACTGGGTAAGAAAAGACATATCATATATGAAAGAACAGTATGAAAAAGGAAAAAATCAGCGAGTAGGAAAGAGCTCTGAGAAATTAAAAATGATTGCTCTAACTCAAGCGGCAGAAAGACTGAGCTATAAAGTTGAGGGAATTTCCCAGAACATCAAAAAGAGAGACCGAAGATATGAGAAAAAAAGATAAAACAGAGGATCAGTGTGGGAAATTCAATAACCAATAATTTTCGTTTCGGAGAGGAAGAGCAAACAGAACATAACCAAAGGAAGAGGATAATGCCTCAAAGTTGAAGAAATGAATCTTCAGACTATAAGAGCTCCCTGAAGTTTGAGCAGCGTTACTAACATTTACTGAGCACTTTCTATTGTTGGCTAAGCACTTGCATGAGTTATCTCAATTCTCATTAACAACCCTCTGAGGTACTTGGTATCCTCAAGTGAGGCCTAGGAAGGTTATCTTCACCAAGGTCACACAGCTAGTAAGTGGCAGAGCTGGAAATTTGGCCCATGCAATATGACTCACTTAGATTCTCAACCACTGTACCGCTACCACTTACCTAAAAAGATCGACTCACAGGCCAAATTATTAAGTTACTTACCTAAAAAGATCGACTCACAGGCCAAATTATTAAGTTCAGAATCCACAGCATAAAATTAAGATCCTGAATGCTTTCACAGGGGAAAACACAGACAACCTGGGAGAGGAAGGGGGATTCAGCATTAGAGTTTATCAGCCATACTGCATGTTGAAAGATAATGGAACAATATCTTCAAAGCTCTGATGCTGAATTGTTTTGTTTGTTTGTTTGTTTTTGACATGGAGTCTTGCTCTGTCACCCAGGCTGGAGTACAGTGGCGCAATCTCAGCTCACTACAACCTCCGCCTCCTCGGGTACAAGCGGTTCTCCTGTCTCAGCCTCCTGAGTAGCTGGGACTACAAGCGCACGCCACCATGCCTGGCTAATTTTTGTATTTTCAGTGGAGATAGGATTTTGCCATGTTGGCCAGGCTGGTCTTGAACTCCTGACCTCAGGTGATCCGCCCGCCTCAGCCTCCCAAAGTGCTGGGATTACAGGCATAAGCCACTGCACCCGACCTATTGCTTTTCATTGTAAACCTTTTTATAATTGTATGGTTATTTTTTCACTATATATGTCTTTGATATAAAAATCTGTTTAATATTACTACAGGTATATTGTTCTGCCACTGAAGCTCCATATTACTGTCAAATAAAATAAAACTGTAAATCCAGGAAATTTTTTAAATAAAAGTTTACCTAAAGCAACCAAGTGGCACCCTTAACAAATGAAATCGTGCTCTGCCTGACTTCGACCAGGCAGAATTCACCAAAAGATACTGAAGAGCTTTCTTTGGAAAAAAAAAAAAAAAGCAATACTCAATTCTTTTCTTAGGAAACTGATTATCAAAGGAATCATAATTTACCATGTACTTACCTGGTAAAAGACGAATCTGGAAAAAATTTGTTATCAAAGCAAATTGTCTCCATCTTTGATACACTGGTTTTATGAGTCAGTAGACACTGGATGTACAACCAAAGCTCTGAAAAACATACTTCATAATTTTTTGGGCATCCCATTAACCCAGTGGAGAAATATAATGCAATAAAAGTATAATATCATCATTTATGAATATCTGCTGAGCTCTTGTGTGTAAGAAGCTGCAAGGAGTGCTGTACTAATGTAAAAAAAATGTTTTTAAAAACCTCCAGTGTTAAAATATATACAGGCTTGAAATGGAATAAATCTTCTATAACCTCCCTGGGTCTCACTGTCTTTATGTTAAAATTAGAAGGGGTAGGGTTAGAGTTGTATTAGGTGATCTTGAAGCCATTTCTAGTTCTTCAACCATATTCTCGCTCCTCCATCTTAATAAAAGACTAGTTGGAAAATGTGCTTTAGACTCTCAGTTCACCTGGACAGCTCGTTACATGTTTAATTAATAATTTTGGCAGGTGAATCTGTGCGGAAGTCTTGGGCTGGATGTGTGTGTTTGCCCGGCTCTCTGAATCCCCTTTTGTGAAGGCCGTGGTGCTACCACAGAGAGGCTTGTTTGCTGTCTGGTCCTAGAGCAGCTGCTGCTTTCTTCCTTTATCCTTTATCAAGCAAAAGAAAATGCAGTGATGTTTGTGTGTGCTTCAGATGAGGAGAATGCACTCCACACAGGTTATTCTCTGGGTTAAAGTGGATGGGGTGAGCACAGAGGAGCTCAGTTCAATGGGAAGAGAGGTCGTGGCAGCATCTGCCCTCTTGTTTGTTTCAACGGTTTCAGTCTTGAGTATAGAATGTGTTCAGTGAGAGGCAAGCAGAAGAAGTTAAAAAATGCACTACTGCTTAGTTTCTCAGCCATTTTGGGGAGTGGAGGTGGAGAGTGGGAGGGGAGAAAGGGACATACAGCTAGTTTTCTCTTTCTATTATTAAATCTCTTCTTATTTCATGATCTCCACTTCAGAGATTCTTATTGCAGTCTCTTTTGTGTAACTGCTAACTGACTAAGGAACACTATTTCATACTTATATGCAGGAAGTGGCAAAATTATAAACATTTTCAACCTCTGATATTAATGATCAAACTGCTTTCCACAGGCACTGGCCTCACACAGTCCTACAGGACCAAATATTTTAAACCAAAACCACTAAGAACGTAACAGCAAACATAGAACCATAAATATAGCAAAAGAGTAAACAAAGATGGAAAAATATGGGAAGATAACCAATATCATCACTTCATGAGGGAAAGGGAAAAAAGCCACAAGAAAATAAGTAATTTTACAAGAGAGAGAAAAATAAAAGAAAGAAGAGAAACAGATGCAGAGTGAAGGCAAAAGGAAGAGAGAGAATGCACAGTAGACTGCAATAAAGACATGAATAATATTGTGTGTTCCCATGCTTTTGCATGTGACTTGCCTAGTCTGCTGTCTTTTATTCTATATACCTGTGTGACTGGTCGTGATAAAAATGGGTATCTTCCCTTTGAAAGTCCAGCAAATAGTGCCGGGCACAGTGGCTCATGCCTATAATCCCAGCACTTTGGAAGGCTAAGGTGGCAGGATCACTTGAGCCCAGGAGTTTGAGACTAGCCTAGGCAACATAGTGAGACCCAGTCTCTACAAAATATAGAAAAATTAGCCATGTGTAGTGGTGTGTGCCTGTAGTTCCAGCTACTCAGAAGGCTGAGGCAGGAGGATCACTTGACCCCAGGAGGTTGAGACTGCAGTAAGCCATGATTGTGCCACCACACTCCAGTGTGGGTGACAGATAAGACCCTGTCTCAAAAAATAAAAAAAAAGGCCAGCAAATGAGTATAGGCATAGAAAAAAAGTCCAGATGAATGAATATACATCAATTTGTTAACAGTAATTACCTGAATGTGAGGGACTTCTATTTTCTATATTACACATTTCTCTCTTTTTTTTTTTTTTGGAATGTTTTTCAAAGAGCACATATTTGAAGGAAGGAGATTAAATAGGTATAATTTCCTGGGAACTTAGATAATTAGAGTTCACCATTTTCCTCAGTTCCTGGCAGCCAGGGATGGCTACAATCTGTGACCCCTGGCATTGCTCCATGGGGCTTATAGTCAAGAGGGTACAATTTGGTCTTGTTTTATGGACAATCTTGTGAGCATGTTAGTCTCTTCCAATTTGTTTCTTAAGAACAAATTGGAAAGCTGAGACTAATTCAAGGCCAGGGAAGCCTTGTCCCTCAAGCCTGCACAGTTCGTTTCCAATTTGTTTCTTGAGAATAAAGACAGTATCATATCTCCTTGGAGCTTAGAGTAGCACTTACATATTTATTGATTGGTTGATTGCTAGATTCGCTTGGGAATTTGTTGCCTTTTCCCCCTATTCTGAATGGAATCTTCATTCTCTGGAAGTGTATAAGCAGGAACTACCTTTCCAGGCATTGGCAGTTTGGGAATGGATGGCAGCCTCTTATGGTTCACACTTTCATTTAGATTCCATGAGGCAATTGCACACTTCTGCTTTAACCCAACACTCAGAGTCAGTCCCAAGACATCAGGTCAGGGAAGCCTTGTCCCTCAAGCCTGCACAGTTCCCAAGCCAACTCTGACCGAAGCAGGCAGTATTATCAGAAAGCTTTAATGCACCAGTGAAAAGGGTCTGGGACCATCTCCATGCTCTTCCCTATAGCCGTCCCTTCCCTTCCCTCGTTCCCTCAGCTCCTGCCACGATTCTAGATGGGCTACTGCTCCAACAATGGATATGTTACTATGTTGGAGTGTTACTGCTGTTTTTACATCTCCTATAACATCTTTTAAGCCAAAGCGTTGGACAAACTTGAAACGAATGCTAGCCAGACTGGGCCTGATATCAACAACTTCCTTGGGGCAATGTTTTGGTCTTACCCTACAGTTAAGTTAGCCCTGTCTGGTCCCATTCTACTCCCCTTCCCTTGACAGACTGCTCAGGAGGTTGCAGCATGCTATTTGCTGAGCCCATTTGGATTATGCCTATAAATGGCTCTAGATCCCTGAAATCCTCAGAATTTCAGTATGGAAGAGGCTCAGGTAGGGCAATCCCATTAGGAAGGGGTGGGGCTTAAAGTATCATTTGCATAGGAATTATATGACTGGGAAAATGTCATTAGACTAATAAAAAATGAGAGTGGCAGGAGGATCACATGCAACTAACATCCTCCTTCTCTTGTCCTGGCTCCCTCTTGGCACTGCTAAAGATCAAGGAACAGGGCACAAACAGCAAAGATAAATCCACTTGATTTTCCACAACTGTCTCACATATGGCATTACTTTTCCTCGCAAAACATGGAATATTTACACATTTTCTCTAACAGTACCTTTAGATTACTCAGTAACATATTCATGATTGTCTCAAATGATTGGTATAGGAAACATGACATTCTGCCAGCAAGTTAGTTGAGAGTGCCCTAGAAACTGTCTGCCTGAACCTATAATCATTCAAACATAGACGCTAACTTTAGAGGGGCCCAATCAGCTACTAAGACAGATCTTTGTTGTACATGCGGCTTATGTTTATGCAGAACTCCTAGTTCCTGAAAAGAATGTTCATTTGACTTAAAATATGTAAACAAGTAGCATACCAACATATTAAAATTAGAGAAACTAGAGGCCAAGATCGGAGATTCTTCTCCAACCACAGAGTTGCTAAGAAATGATCGTGAAATCAAATCAAAAGGCTAACTTTACGGATTCAGATGGCAAAACAAAGAGGCAGGGTCAGGAAGGGAGAATGAGGCCCCTGGGTCTAGATGACAACTGCGCTGAAGCTGTGTGGTCCCGGGGTACCAGTTTCCCCCAGCAGCCACATTATATCAGTTAATCTTACAACGTATTCACATAAAACAGCTTTTTATTAGAGATATGTAAGCACCTTGGCCCCTATTTCATGGTTTGTGCTCTTTCTTTTCTTTCCTTCCTTCCTTCTTTCTTTCCTTCCTTCTTTCCTTCCCTTCCTTCCTTCTTTCCTTCTTTCCTTCTTTCCTTCTTTCCTTCCTTCCTTCCTTGCTTCCTTCCTTCCTTCCTCCCTCCCTCCCTCTCTCTCTCTTTCTTTCTTTCTTTTGACAGAGTCTCCCTCTGTCGCTCAGGATGGACTGCAGTGACACCATCCTGGCCCACTGCAACCTCCGCCTCCAGGGTTTAAGCTATTCTCCTTGCCTCAGTCTCCCGAATAGCTAGGATTACAAGTGCCCGCCCCATACCCGGCTAATTTTTGCATCTTTTAGTAGAGATGGGGTTTCGCCATGTTGGCCAGGCTGATCTTGAACTCCTGACCTCAGGTGATCTGCCCGCCTTGGCCTCTCAAAATGCTGGGATTACAGGCATAAGCCACCACACCCAGCCTGTGTTTTCAAATATCTTATAGTAATCCTAATATATATATATATAAATCTAAACTTGTGAGACAAATTACAAGATGATGTTATTTACTATAAGACAAACATTTTTAAAAAATTATTTACTTCATGTCACATAATCCCTTAGAGCATTTAAAAATGCAAATATTCAATTAAAAATTCAATACATACATTACAGAACCTGCATAATTTAACTTTTATTACAAACTACAAATTTAGACACACTCATGGTATAAGTCTATAATATTAAGTTCAAGAAGGAGGAAGGAAAAATGGGTTTTTCAAAAATATGCATATTGGAATTTATTTGATTTATATCTTTTATAAATAAAAAGATTTTAAAAGATGTGAATAAGACATGATCTTTTGAAAATCAAGGTAAAGACCTATAAAATAATAATCACAATCAAAATATTTTAACATTCAAGAATGAATTTTTGGACATAAACTGAAGGTATTAAGTTATCCTTTATTTCTTGAACCCTGGTTTTCAAAAGTTATTCAACTTTTTTTTTTTGAGACAGAGTCTTGCTCTGTTGCCCAGGCTACAGTGCAGTGGCACAATCACAGCTCACTGCAGCCTCAAACTCCGGGGCTCAAGCGCTCCTCCTGCCTCAGCCTCCCAAGTAGCTGGGACTATATGCATGTGCCACCACATCTAGCTAGTTTGTAAATTTTTTGTAGACACGGGGTCTCACTATGTTGCCCAGCTGGGTCTCCAACTCCTGGGCTCAAGCAATCCTCCTGCCTTGGCTTCCCAAAGTGTTGGAATTACAGGTGTGAGCCACTGCACCCGGCCGAATTATTCAATTTTTTATTCAAGAATCCTAAGTACAAAATCTGACTAATGGTAAGAATTCAAATCAGTGAAGTGCCATAATATAATTAACCTTCATTTCACAGATAGGAGCACGGACAGAAATGGAGTAGAGAAGTGACTCAGTAGCGGTTACTCATCTAAATAAAAGCACTCTAATGCTCAAGATCACAGAATGTTAAAATTGCAAGGGATCCTAGATATCAGTGATCTAGCCCTTTATCTTGTTGGTCACTATGTATATATCCCTTTTTTTTTTTTTTTTTGAGAGAATCTTCCTCTGTGGCACAGGCTGGAGTGCAGTGGCAGGATCTCGGCTCACTGTAAACTCTGCCTCCCAGGTTCAAGTGATTCTCCCGCCTTAGCCTCTGAGTAGCTGGGATTGCAGGCATGCACCACCATGCCTGGCTAATTTTTGTATTTTTAGTAGAGACAGGTTTCACCATGTTGCCCAAGCTGGTCTCGAATTCCTGACCTCAAGTGATCTGCCTGCGTTCGCCTCCCAAAGTGCTGGGATTACAGGCATGAGCCACCACACCCAGCTTATATCCCATAAGTTGATGGTTTTGGCGGACATGTGCTGGCAGCTTTTAACCCTTCTGCGGTGAGAAGGATGTGTATGAGAGAAGCCAGATCCAGGGTCAGTGGATGAGCTATCACCTGTGCAAGTTCATATTTGCTTCATTTCTAGCTCATCCCAGATATCTACATTCCATGCCGAACTTATTGAGGATTTCCTCACTGGATTCCACTACTGCTGGTGCCACCTGGGTCCTCATAGTGTTTCCTTTTCCTTTTAGTTGTAGGGGAATAAAGCATTCATTTATTTTCCAAGGGTTGGCTGAGTTAAGTCACATGAACATGTGTTCTATTTCAGATGGGTTTGAAACTAGGCTTGATGCCTTAAGGAATAGGGATGTCTAGATTTCTTTTTTCTGTACACTTCTTAAGACTCTGTGGCCAGCTAACTCTCAGGCTCCTTTGCTGCACTCAGATTGCTGGCCTCAGTTACACAGAGGACAGATTTGCCACATTCAAAAATGCTCTCCCTGGAATTGAAATGAGTTTGCAAAAGGTAGGAGTACATTTTATTCTCATTCTTGTGCATCTTATTTACCCTGATGGAAAGCATTACTTCTCTTTATCTTTCAAGGTGACCCAAAAGCATCCAAAACCAGGTTTTCCAGAATTATAGCATGTGTCCTCTAATGAAATGCCAACATTCACTCTCTTTAAAAGTAAAAATATCAAGATTATATAGTCATTAAAAAGAATAAGTCTGAACTAAGTGTTCTAAGATTTGATGCCTATGATGACTGGAATGGAAAAAGCAAGTCATATGATTCTATTTAAAATACTTACATTTGCCTGTGTGTAAAAGGCAAAGATCTCAATTGAGCACACGGTGGTTAACTGGGGAGTGGGACTATGGTATGTACAGAGGGCGAGGAAGGGGCTTGCACTTGTTCCTTATTTCTGAATTGTTCTGAATTGTCTAGATTATTCACTGAGTGTGTAGTGCTTAAAAATTAATTAGAAGACATCACACACATTCACTGAGAATCCTAATCAATCTTCACTGCATTTAAAGTCTGGAAACGGTTACATTCTCAGTTTGACTGGTTTCATGCAGTGTTCAATTGCTTCACCTGACATTCCTCGGGTATCGGGTTCTGTGCCGGGCACGGAGGCTACTAAGATGAATAACACCTGGTCCATGACAGGATGGCATCTACCCCAGAACACAGGTAAGAGAGACAGTGAATTTGGTAAAAATGGGCACCGTCATCAGTAGGCATACATCAGCTCCCTCATCTGATTCACAATTGGCCTTCTGTAGGCTTCTTCTCTTGGCAATGCAATTGGCAGGCGTCATCCTTTTATACTTAAACTCCAAATTTAGGATTAAGACTCCAGTTAATACTGCCAAGCAGAAGGCGTCCTTGGAGAAAGAGAAGTCTCCTGAACATACCCACTGGGGTACCTAGAATAGATTTTGCAGCGACACACAGATCCTGTGTTGTCTGGAGTCTCTGCTGAGTAATGTAGATTCTGGGACAGCAAAAGGGGAGCTGGTGACTTTGAACCAAATTTTACCTTTCAACTGAATCCAGGGGAATAATTTGCAACAGAGTGGCAGACGATACAAAGTGCTATGTTGAACACTAGATTGTGCTTTATTTTTTCCGCCCAACTTCACGTTTCCATGCACCAAAATGTTGATGCTATAAATATTGGATGCCACGCTTACCTGACAGGCTTCTTCCATCCCACCTGGGCGCGGGGGCTCAGAGCGAGCGCGCGAGCCGCGGCTGGAGCCCGCCTCTCGCGGCTGGAGAGGACTCAGCCGGCCGCGGGTTCTGCTGCTTGCCCGGGTGCCCTAGCCGCTTCCCAGCCAGGGCTCCCGCAGTCAGCCCCGCGCGCGCACGCGCGCTCCCCTCGGGCGGCCTCGACGCCTCAGGGCTTCGGCAGGGCTGCGACTGGCCGGCTCCAGCGGGCGGGGCGGCGAGCGAGTGCTCGCGGCCACGTGACCGACGCCAACATGGCGGCGCCCAGTGGCGTCCACCTGCTCGTCCGCAGAGGTAAGCGCGTGGAGGAGAGCCCCGTGAGGGTTCGCACGGTTGCTCACTAGGTACGCACCCGGGTCCAAAGGGATGCGCACCCGCGCTCAGACTTCTCGGCGCACACGACTGTACTTTCAGTGTTTACGAACACACGCAGGCACACACGATGACACATTCACACACCACAGGATCACACATACAAATTTGTTCACTGATCACCCGCCTAGAACACGTCACCACGTGGCATCTTTTCGCAATTACTCCTTGAGATTTGCGGGCCATTGTCTGAAGTTTTTTTCCCCAACTTCGGTTGTATCATTAGTGTAACCAACATTTATTCTGTATGCCGAGCAAGGAAACCTATGGTAATTCTGAAATGCATCTGGACACCCGGTTCCCTTCCCTAGAGCTTTTATGCAGGCATGCTTTTTGGGGACTTGCAAAATGTGATGGTTTTCTTCCAGTGACTTAAAGTTAAGAAGATAAGAAAGGATGTCTGGGTAGTTCTAAGTAGGTTTTATCCTGCGTGAGTGTTGAGATTTTAGTAAATATACAAATGCCTTTGCAGCAGAATTGGGGAAATCTTTGTTGGATTTGAACTAGGTGCTGAATCTTTGTTGGAAAGAACTAGAAAGTTTTTCCAAGGACGGGGGAAGAGGAAAACTATCATATTTTGAGGAGCTACTTAAGCGTCAGGCATGTAGGAACAGTTTTGTGAGGTAAATATTATTTTCATAGTAACAGCTACTGTTTATTAAGTGCCTTTTAAGTACACGATACTGTGTTAAGCGCCTTACATATGCTTGCTTCCTTTTAAAACTCAATGAATGAGACCCCGTCTCTACAAAAAATTTTAAAAATTAGTCGGGCGTGGTGACACATGCCTGTAGTCTCAGCTATTCTGGGGGTTGAGGTGGTAGGATCGCTTGAGCCTGGGAGGTCAAGAGGCTGCAGTGAGCCGTGATCGTACCACTGAACTCCAGACTTGGCAATAGAGCCAGACCCTGTCTCAAAAACAAAAACAAAAACCCAGTGAGTTAGGAATTATTTTCTCTTTGCAGAAGGGAAAAGTAAGGCTAGAGAGGTTAAGTAACATTACTAAGGTCGCATAAATGGTAAGAGGCAGATTGCTCATTTGAACATGACTCTAATTTTTTTTTTTAAGACTCATTTCTCGGTACTGCATGACGTGGTCACTCCATAGAAGTCAGTGTGTAAAGTTCAGCAGAGACAGTGCAGGATGAGTGTGTACAAAAAGTGAAGAGAGCCTGGGCACGGTGGCTCACACCTGTAAACCCAGCACTTTGGGAGGCCGAGGCAGGTGGCTCACTTGAGGTCAGAAGTTCAAGACCAGCCTGGCCAACATGGTGAAACCCCGTCTCTACTAATATACACAATTAGCTGGGCGTGGTGGCGCATGCCTGTAATCCCAGCTACTCGGGAGACTGAGGTAGGAAAATTGCTTTAACCCAGGAGGTGGAGGTTGCAGTGAGCTGAGATCATACCACTACACTCTAGCCTGGGCGACAGAGCGAGACTCCGTCTCAGAAAAAAAAAATAAATAAAAATAATAAAAAATAAGAAGTGAAGAGGAAGATATTTTTAGAGAGGAAGAAGGTTGGTAATCGAATAGACTTCAGTATTTCAGTGTTAGTGGAGATGAGAAAGGGGCCACAGGAAGATTTGAGGGGAGAGATGTGTATGGGGAAGGTGATGTAGCGAGCATTTTGGACTGGTTGCATGAAGGAATGGACATCAGCATGAGAGTGTAGCCTTGTGAAAAGACAGCCAATTTACATCTCTCAAGATCTGGGTGCCAGGCCTGGCAAGGTGGCTAATGCCTGTAATATTACCCAGCACTTTGGGAGGCCAAGGCGGGCAGATCACTTGAGGCCAGGAGTTCAAGACCAGCCTGGCCAACATGGTGAAACCTGTCTCTACTAAAAATACAAAAATTAGCCAGGTGTGGTGGCACATGCTGGTAATCCCAGCTACTTGGGAGGTGGAGGTGGGAGGGATCGCCTGAACCCAGGAGGCGGAGGTTGTAGTGAGCTGAAAAAAAAAAAAAAAAAGATCTGGGTTCCAGTCCAAACTTTCTTTACTAATTACTTTTCTGTTTCCTCTTTTCACAAGAAATCATGGCTTTTAGACTTCATTTTTGTATGCTTCAGGTAATGGTGAGAAGGATCTGAGGAGATAGTCAATGTAGAGGAGGAGCCAAAAAAAAAACAACCTGAAAACATACATAGGTGTATGTATGTATATATATATACACCTATGCATGTATAAACGTATTTTTATATGTGTGTATATATGTATTAGGTTGGTACAAAAGTAATTGCAGTTTTAGAATCAATGACAAAAACTGTGATTACTTTGCACCAACTGTATATATAACATCTCTTTGCAGATAACAGAAATAGCATTAATCTTTTCTTTCTTTTTGATCACTTATTATTTTGACAAATGGTGGTTTAGACAGTCTTGAGAAAATATATTATATGGAAGTCAGGCCAAGTTATTGGTTCCTATAATCCATCCCACTGTATCCCAAAGTGTTGCAACAACCAAGAAGTGGATCCTCTGATTAGAGGAGAGAAGAAAAATGTGTCATCAGGAAGCTATTTTAATGATGGAGAAAGGGCCCCTTTTTGGACTACCCATAGCTAGTTTTAAATTGCAGAGAGGTTTTCCTGCTCCCCACCCCCAAGAATTGAAAATGAAGGGTAAATTCACGAAGACTCCTCTCTCCACCCTCTTCCTCCCTTTCACCCATCTAGATTTATGTAAAGCAATCCATTACAAGTCTTCATGTACCAGGATTTATTATCAGCATTTATGAGCATCATTTCTTCTTGAAATAGAGGAAGACTTTTTTTTAACCTTTTAAAAAAGGCATGAGGTTTCTCTTGTGACGCCTCAACTCATTGTGGCTTTGGTCACAGTATACCCTGTATACAGTAGTTACCTAGCTCCTCTCACCATTTCTGCTCCTTACTAGATTATTAATTCTTGTTGAACAGAAGCTTTGTCTTATGTATCTTTCTGTCTTTATAAGCACAGTACCTGGCTCAAAGTTAAGCTCATTAAAAGTATACAGAATTGAGAGGCTGTTAAGATTTGTTCTCTTCCATCATGGTCTAAGGAGGGTTGGGTAGAAACTATGAGTAGTGACATTGGAAAGAGGAAAAGACAGATCAGCCTCTTGGAACCAAGAGAGAAGGTAACAAGGGCCTTTAAGGGACTAAAATACTCCCAAGTATTAGTGCTGGCAGGAAATCCCTTCCTCAGAGTACAGAATCCCTACCCTGGGGCCCCAGGAACTCTCTCCTATCTCAGTCTCACTCCCAGCCCTCGCTTCACTGGAATCCCAGGTCTAGCTCGGGCCACGAAGCAAGATCCCAGTGAATATGAAGAGGAACAAGGAAATCTCAGCTTGAATTGTAATAATCCCCATGTGTCAAGGGCAGGACCAGGTAGAGGTAATTGGATCATGGGGATAGTTTCCCCCATTCTGTTCTTGTGATAATGAGTGAGTCTCAGGAGATCTGATAGTTTTATAAGCGTCTGGCATTTTCTCCTGCTTGCACTCATTCTCTCTCCTGCCACCCTGTGAAGAGGTGCCTTCTGCCATGATTATACATTTCCTGAGGCCTCCCGAGCCATGCAGAACTGTGAGTCAATTAAACCCCTTTTCTTTATAAATTACCCAGTCTCAGGAATTTCTTCATAGCAGTGTGAGAACAGACTAATACAGCAAGTAAGAGGGCATATTTTCTTTCTTTTTTTTTTGAGACAGAGTCTCGCCCTGTAGCACAGGGTGAAGTGCAGTGGTGCGATCTTGGCTCACTGCAACCTCTGCCTCCCGGGTTGAAGTGATTCTCCTGCCTCAGCCTCCCGAGTAGCTGGGACCACAGGTGCCCACCACCACGCCTGGCTAATTTTTGTATTTTTAAGTAGACACGGGGTTTTGCCATGTTGGCCAGGCTGGTCTCTCTTGAACTTCTGACTTCAAGTGATCCGCCTGCCTCAGCCTCCCACAGTGCTGGGATTACAGGCATGAACCACCGCACCTGGCCATTTACTTATTTTTAACAAATATAAAAAAAACTTAGAAGTACTTTTGTTCACTTGTGACTGTAAGGCCCTAGACTCCTCCACTGAGAATTTTGTTACCTTAGTGGTTTTTCAAAAATGTAATAGCCAGGCAGGGGAGGGGCTGTTATACATCATGAGTTAAGTACTTTAAACTTTTGCCAACTGCCCTGAGATCCTTGCTATCTTGTATAGCTTCTGCAGGAAAATGTCTGCTCAGTTTTGCCAAACCAACTTTTCTTTTTTTTTTTAAATCGAGACGGAGTCTTGCTCTGTTGCCCAGGCTGGAATGCAGTGGTGTGATCTTGGCCCACTGCAACCTCTGCCACCCAAATTCAAGTGATTCTCCTGCCTCAGCCTCTTGAGTAGTGGGAATTACAAGCATCCGCCGCCATGCCCGGCTAATTTTTGTATTTTTAGTAGAGACGGGGGTTTCGCCATGTTGGCCAGGCTGGTCTCGAACTCCTGACCTCTGGTGACGCACCTGCCTCGGCCTCCCAAAGTGCTGGGATTATAAGCATGAGCCACCACGCCCAGCCGCCAAACCAACTTATAATTAAACTTTTGGGATGCAATTCATGGGTGATTTGGAAAATGCTAACATTCCTAAGTTTAGCTTCCTATTACTTAGACTACATTCCTGTTGACATCCAGAGAATGGAAATGGAGTTTTGCCGTATGACATCTTTTAACAAATACATTCCAATTCTATTATAATATGGCATGTTACTACACAGATTAAGAAATACTTATGAAACCTTGGCTCTAAAGTGCTCCTAAATCCATACATACTTGTATGTGTTTTCCTCTATTTGAAACAGCTAGCTTGCTTCCTTTCTTCCTTCCTTTTTTTTTTCTTTTTTCAGGGTCTCTGTCACGAAGGCTGGAGTGCAGTGGCACAATCACAGGTCACTACAGCCTCAACTTCCTGGGCTCGACCAGTCCTCCCACCTCAACCTCCTGAGTGGCTAGGCGCACACCACCACACCCAGCTAATTTTTTGTTTTTTTCATAAAGACAGGTTATCATCATGCTGCCCAGGCTGTGAAACAGTTTTCTTTCTTTCTTATTTATTTATTTTATGTTTTATTTCAATAGTTTTTGGGGTACAGGTAGTTTTTCGTTACATGGATGAATACTTTAGAAGTGAATTCTGAGATTTTAGTGCACCCATCACCCAAGCAGTGTACATTGTACCCAGTATGTTTTCTTTTATCCTTCACCCCTGCATCCCTAGAGTTCATTATATTGCTCTGTATGTTTTTGCATCCTCATAGCTTAGCTCCCACTTATAAGTGAGAACATACAGTATTTGGTTTTCTTTTCCTGAGTTACTTCACTTAGAATAATGGCCTCCAGTTCCATCCAAGTTGCTACAAAAGACATTATTTTGTTCCTTTTTATGTCTGAGTAGTATTCCATGGTGTCTGTATTTTATATATATATATATATATATATATCTTTTTTTTTTTTTTTGAGAGTCTCTCTGTCACCCAGGCTGGAGTGCAGTGGTGCAGTCTCGGCTCACTGCAACCTCCGCCTCCCGGGTTCAAGCAATTCTCTTGCCTTAGCCTCCTGAATAGCTGGGACTACAGGCACCCGCCACCATGCCCGGCTAATTTTTGTATTTTTTTGTAGAGGCGGGATTTCACCATGTTGGCCAGGCTGATCTCAAACTCCTGACCCAAATGATCCACCCACCTCGGCCTCCCAAAGTGCTGGGATTACAGGCATAAGCTACCATGTATAACACATTTTATTTATCTACTCATTGGTTGATGTGAAACAGCTTTCTGTACTACAAATAGTTCTGTCTCCCATTGAAATTATGAAATTTCAATGTATACTACAGGGCATATAGACCCTCAGTGATGAATGCTTTGCAGTCATTAAAAAAAAATATATTGACCTGCATTTGTTGGTATGGAATGATGTCCACAAAATACATTATTATGGAAAAGCAAGTTATAAAACAATATAAGCTACTCACATTTTGTAAATAAAATATCAATATTTCTGTATATGTGTATACATGTGTCTAAGTGTATATAACATGTATACACACAGAGTATGACATACAAGCAGATATTTATAGTTTTTGTTTTTTTTTTTTTTGAGACGAAGTCTCGCTCTGTCACCCAGGCTGGAGTGCAGTGGCGGGATCTCGGCTCACTGCAAGCTCCGCCTCCCAGGTTCATGCCATTCTCCTGCCTCAGCCTCCCAAGTAGCTGGGACTACAGGCACCTGCCACCACGCCCAGCTAATTTTTTGTATTTTTAGTAGAGATGGGGTTTCACCGTGTTAGCCAGGCTGGTCTCGATCTCCTGACCTCGTGATCTGCCTGCCTTGGCCTCCCAAAGTGCTGGGATTACAGGTGTGAGCCACTGCGCCTGGCCAATATTTATAGTTTCTATGAAATACCCGCTTTCCTCAAGCATTAGAAATCCATAAAAATCAGTGTGGATGCTATATATCTTAGGGAACTTGGCAAAGATGGGAGAAGTACTATGTGTATGCAGAACTTCATTTGAACAACATCTAGTTTTAAGCTGAAACAGCTTGTTTTTACGGAGACTGAATTTTCTTTTTTAGCTTTTGAACATGGAGACAGTTAAACATAATGCAAAAGTAGAGAGAATAGTACAATGAACTCCCACGTAGCCATCATCTAGTTACAATAGTCATCAACCTATGGCCACTATTGTTACATCTATACTCCCAGTTACTTTGCCTCCCCACAGGTGGATTATTTTGAAGCACATTCCAGATATATTATTTCATCTGTAGATTTTTTACCGTGTATCTCTAAAAGATAGGGAGCCATTTTTTTCTTCTTACGTTGTACATATCAGTTCTAGAATTTGCATTATAATTTCCATTTCTTGTTGAGATTTCCCACCTGTTCACTCATTATGTTCATCTTTTCCTTTAAGTACTTGAACATACATATTTATAACAGCTTTTTAAAAATCTGTTAATTTTATTATTGGGTCTCCTCAGAGTCTGTTTCTGTTTTGTTGACTGCTGTTTTTTTTTTTATTGTACATTACGTTTTCCTGCTGCTTCCCATGTCATGTAATTTTTTTTTTTTTTTTTTTTTAAGAGAAGGGCCTTGTTCTGTCACCCAGGCTGGAGTGCAGTGGTACAATCATAGCTCACTGCAACCTCAAACTCCTGGGCTCAAGCAATCCTCCTGCCTCAGCCTTCCAAGTAGCTGGGACTATAGGCGCACACCACCATGTCTGGCTAATCATGTAATATTTAATTTTATAAGTGGCATGACAGATAATATCTTGGTGGAGATTATGTTGTTTTTCTTTAACATATGTTTTAAACAACTGCCAGGCAATATGTTAAATCTGTTTGATTCTTTCAGGCTTGGTTTTTATTCTCTGTTAGGATGGATCTATTTGTGTTTTGCTGTTAGTTCTAGGGGGTGGCTGAGGCCAGTGTGGGCTCATGTGTTGTATTGTTTTCTTTTAAGGTTCATGGTCCTGCATTGCCTAATATCCAGTGCCAAGATATAGTTGCTTCACATATTTTGTCTAATTGGTTAAGACAGGTGGGAATTCTAGTACCAGTTATGCTGGAATGGATGGAAAAGGATATTAATTTTGTTTTTTTTGAGACAGAGTCTCTGTTGCCCAGGATGGAGTGCAGTGGCGCATTCTCAGCTCACTGCAACCTTCTTCTCCTGGGTTCAAGCAGTTCTCCTGCCTCAGCCTCCTGTGTAGCTGAGATTACAGGCGCATGCCACGACACCCGGCTAATTTTTGTATTTTTAGTAGAGACGGGGTTTCACCATGTTGGCCAGGCTGGTCTCCAACTCCTGATCTCAAGTGATCCACCTCAGCCTCCCAAAGTGCTGGGATTACAGGCATGAGCCACCGCGCCTAGCCGGATATTATTATTTTTTTTAATCTATAAGTTTACTTTCCCTTTTTTTTTTTTTTTGAAAATTATTTGTTGAAGCAACTGGTTAGCCTATTGGTTCTGTGGAGCTTTGCATTTTGTGGATTTTGCTGATGGTATTATATTCCACAGGGCTTGTTGAAGATGTTCCTCTATGAAATGGTAGTTAGATCCAAGGCCTGATTTAAGTTAGACATTTTTTGGTACAAGTACTTCATAGTGGTGTTGCTGGAGACATTGTGGCCTGGAGACATTGGAGACATTAGTGGCCATTGGCAATCATGACCTGGCTCATTAGGAGTTTACAAATGACAATATTTTAATTACTCCTTCTTTATTTATCAGCTAGAAAACATCTACAAAGAGAAACTTTCTCATCAAGTATTTCATTACCCTGACAGGCCCTGTCCCAGCAAGGAAAGTTAAATGGTTTGTTCTCCTTATTTATCAGTTTTTAAAATACCATAGTCCCCCGCTTATCCAATGGGGGTATGTTCCCAGACCCTCAGTGGATGTCTGAAGCCACAGATGGTACTGAACCCTGCACGGTGCTGTACTATGCTTTTTCCTATACACACATTTCTGTGGTAAGGTTTAATTTATAAATTAGGCAGAGTATGAAATTAACAACAATCACTAAAAATAGAACAATTTTAACAATATACTGTAATAAAAGTTAGGTGAATGTGGCCTTTCTCTCAAAATATCTTTTTGCACTGTGCTCACCCCTTTTTTTTTATGATGATGTGAGATGATAAAATGCTTACGTGATGAAGTGAGGTGAATGAGAAAGCATTGTGATGTAGTTTTAGACTACATGTCTGAAGGAGAATCATCTGCTTCAGGTGATCCTGGATCACTAAGCCATGACATGATGTCAGAAGCAGAGAATGTGGATGACTAATGGGTTGCTAGTGTGCAGGGTGTGGACCTGCTGACAAAAGGGAGGATTCATGTCCTGAGCAGAATGGAGTGGGCCAGTGTGAGATTTCATCACGCTGTGCAGAACGGTGTGTTTGTGAATTGTTTATTTCTGGAATTTTCTTTCTTTTTTTTTTTTTGAGACAGAGTCTCGCCGTGTCTCTCAGGCTGGAGTGCAGTGGCGCGATCTCTGCTCACTGCAAACTCCACCTCCCGGGTTCCCGCCATTCTCCTGCCTCAGCCTCCCGAGTAGCTGGGACTAGGGGCGCCCACCACCGCGCCAGGCTAATTTTTTTTGTATTTTTTAGTAGCGACGGGGTTTCACCGTGTTAGCCAGGATGGTCTCGATTTCCTGACCTCGTGGTCCGCCCACTTCGGCCTCCCAAAGTGCTGGGATTACAGGCGTGAGCCACCGCGCCCGGCCTGGAATTTTCTATTTAATATTTTTAGACCTTGATTGACCTTGGATAACTGAAACTCTTATCTAAGAGGAGACTACCGTAACAGGTTTATCCTCCAAAAGTGACCAATGAATTTTTGTTTCGGGTCATTATATGGGTTAATTTTTTTTATATGGGTTTATTTTTAATTGTGTATCTACTTCTTTAATTTTCTGAAAGTATATGAAACGTCATGGAGCATTGAAATTGTGAGGCAGGATTGCAAGATTCAAGATAGAAGAGCTATTGACAGAAGTAGCATTTCTAATATATGGAATTTAAGAAACTCTTACTATACCTTAATGTTAGAGTGGAAGACTGTAGGGTAAGAGAGGATTAACAAGAAAGTGAGATGGTGTCTCCATTTTAATCTGCTGCTTGTGTGTTCTGAATGTATTGGAGAGGGAAAGCCATTGCAGTCAGTTAGAAGATAATGGCAGAAACAGAAGGACCTGAACTAGGGTAATGACTGCGGGATGGAAAGGGAGAGATGGATGCCAAGGAAATGGTACAGAGGAGAAATCATCATGACCTGGTGGTTTGCTGGAAAGGAGACCCGAGGAAGGGAAGGGGCATCAAAGCAGAAAAGGAGGAGTTGGCAGGAACAGAGAACTTAGTAGGGAAAAGAGTCTCTAAGATGAAATTGCAGGATGACTAAGTATCAGTGAATTTGGCCACTAGTGATGATGGCGGCTTGGAGCAAAATTTAGCAGTAGAAGGAGCTTGTGAAAAGTGACAGTTGGTGGTGGTTGTAGAGAATTGTGGAGGGGTTTTTTGTCCCTTCTTTTTTTTTTTTTTTTGAGACAGGGTCTCACTTTGTCACCCAGGCTGGAGTGCAGTGGCGCAATCTCAACTCACTGCAGCCTTGACCTCCCAGGCCCAAGCGATCCTTCCACCTCAGCCCCCCAAGTAGCTGGGACTACAGGTGCACACCACCACACCTGGCTAATTTTTTGCATTTTTTGTAGAGATGGGGTTTCACCATGTTGCCCAGGCTGGCTTTGAACTCTTGAGCTCAAGTGATTGGTCAGCCCACCTTGGCCTCCCAGAGTACTAGGATTATAGATGTGAGCCACTGCACCCAGCCCTTTTTTTTTTTTTTTTAACAACTTTTTTCCTTCTTTCCTTCTTTCCTCTTTTTTTTTTTTTTTTTTTTAACAGAATCTCACTCTGTCACGCAAGCTAGAGGACAGTGGTGCAATCTCAGCTCACTACAACCTGTGCCTCCGGGTTCAAGTGATTCTCCTGCCTCAGCCCCCCGAGTGGCTGAGATTGTAGGCGTGTGCCACCTCGCCTGGCTAGTTTTTGTATTTTTAGTAAGAGACAGGGTTTCGCCATGTTGGCCAGGCTGGTCTTGAACTCCTGGCCTCAAGTGATTCACCTGCCCAATGTTTTTTTTTTTTTTTTTGAGATGAAGTCTCTGATCTTTCACCCAGGCTGGAGTGCAGTGGCATGATCTCGATCTCCACTCACTGCAACCTCCGCCTCCCAGGTTCAAGCGATTGTCCTGCCTCAGCCTCACGAGTGGCTGGGATTACAGGTACATGCCACCACACCTGGCTAACTTGTATTTTTAGTAGAGGTGGGGTTTCACCATGTTGGCCAGGCTGGTCTCTTAAACTCCTGACCTCAAGTGATCTGCCTGCCTCAGTCTCCCATAGTGCTGGGATTACAGGCGTGAGCCACCGCGCCCAGCCTGTCTGTTCAATCTTAACAGCTTTTTTGAGATATAATTCACAGTCCATACAGTTCACCTATTTAAGGTGTATAATTCAGTGATTTTTTAGTATATTCAAAGAGTTGTGCAAGCATCACCACAATCAGTTTTACATTTTTATCACCCCAAAGAGAAACCTCTTACCCATTAGCAGTCACTCCCCAATCTGCCCATCCCCTCATCCTTAAGCAACCACTAATCTTTCTGTTTCTTTTTTTTTTTTTTTTGGCGATGGAGTCTCACTCTGTCGCCCAGGCTGGAGTGCAGTGGCGCGATCTCGGCTCACTGCAAGCTCCGCATCCCAGGTTCATGCCATTCTCCTGCCTCAGCCTCCAGAGTAGCTGGGACTACAGGCGCCCGCCACCACGCCCAGCTAATTTTTTGTATTTTTAGTAGAGACGGGGTTTCACTGTGTTAGCCAGGCTGGTCTCGATCTCCTGACCTCGTGATCCTCCTGCCTTGGCCTCCCAAAGTGCTGGGATTACAGGCGTGAGCCACCGCGCCCGGCCTAATCTTTCTGTTTCTATAGATTTGCCTCTCCTGGACATTTCATATAATGGAATCATACAACATGCAGTCTTTTGTGACTGGCTTCTTTCATTTAGCATGATGTTTTCATGGTTCATCCCTATTGTGGCATGTGTCAGTTTATTGCTGTATAATATGCCACTGTATGGATATATCACATTTTGTTTATCCATTCACCAGTTTGTGGACATTTGGGTCATTTCTACTTTTTAGTTCTTATGAATAATGCTACTATGAATATTTGTGTATGTGTTTTTCTGCGGACATATATTTTGTTTTGGTTTTGAAATAGGCTATGTTTAGATGCAGAGGGAAGCAAAGAAACTGGTAAGGATGTGGTAAAATTACCACATCCACAAGACAACGTTTATTAAGTACTGAAATATTCCTTTATGAAAGTTAACTCTTGCCATCCCTTTTATCTTTCACATTTAGAGTCTATATTATCACAACCTTGTTTTTCCTTTGAGTCAGCATTGTGATCATTCTGGACGTGGGGTCCCACACACCCTGTCTCTGTCAGTAAGATTATGATTAAGATCAAATAGAAATAGGTCAGGAGAGAAAAGAGCTCCCTGGCCTTATTCTCCTCAAACTAGCTGATGCTCCTGAATACCAACCTCTTTAAGAATTGATATTTCAAAGGACAACTCCTCTCTGTGGTCTTCTGTCCTCTCTCCCCTACTTTATGCTCTGTGCATAGCAGCTGTTCAGGACATCGCCCGAGCGCAGGGGCACTGCAATCAGAAAAGCGAGTGAGGGACACAGCAGGAGAAGGCTGTTCTGGGGCTAGTGAGTGGGAGACGGGACAAACAGCTAGATAGCAACGTGATGGCTTCACCATGGGGTGAAGCGTGGGGGAGAGTATCAATTACCTAGATTTTAAAAAGAGAGCCCTTGAACACCTCTGTCACTGGTCACTTTTACCAAAGCCTTCTAACTTAACGGAAGGAGATGCTGCACTTTAAAGAAAAATCACAGCTGCGGAAGACAGTCTCGCAAAGCCAGTTTTTGTGGCTTAGTATTTTGGGGTAGCTTGTTTCATGAGGGTCAGATTAATTTTCTAATGTTGTTTTCTACCTTAATGTTACTGCTTTAATCATTAGAATGCCACCAGTTCCTTCAGGCAATAGGAAGCTATTGAAGATTTAATGAGATTCATACTGCTTATGCTTAAATGTTGATGACTTCCTGCATGCATATTAATCATTCCTGACCTTGATCTCAAATTCCTTCCCGGTACAAATTCTCATTAAACATACCTACTAGATCTCCCAGTGTTCACTGAATACCTGGTTTGTTTCCAAAAGTACATAAAAGAACATTAAGTCTCATGTTCGGTATGTGTCAAATGTTCAGTTCCCTTGTCTGATTTGTTTTCCAATTCTTATTGTGACTGTAAATCTGGAGAATTTAGGGGAAGAAAAATCAGTAACTCTTAACAGGGGATTTAGCCTAGTTTACAAGAGTATATGATCTGTGCAGCAGACCTTGAACACAGCTAATTGCTTGTCTAGGTCAGTATGTCCAACTGGCAACTCTCAGAGCCCATCCAGGCCACAGAGCATTTCCGGGTGGCTTGTGTGTGCGCTCCGGCTGTCGAGCAGCAGGACTTGGCTTCTGTCCCCGGCTTCGTTGGCCCCATCTTTTAGTTCAGGTCCACCCCCTCCTGCCTCAGAGGCCTGGGAAACCCAGCCTGGCCACCTGGTGTCCTCATGCCCAGCATCTACGCATCTGCCCCAGTTGTCCCCTCAGCCACCTTGGCAGATTTCTTGACTTAACAGTTCTTCCCTGAACTAGGACCGGGGGCAGGAGTTATTAGAGAAGGGAGAGGAAAGGTGACAGGTCTCAGGAGTCTGAGGGAAGATGAAAGTGAGAGCGAAGTAGTGTGGGAGAGAGGGGGATCACATCCATGGGAGAGAAAATAAATATGTCAATATTAGGGTGGTGAGGCCTGTATACAAAGACAGGATGGCAGGGAGAAGAAGTAGGCAAGGACATAAAGGGGCTTGGGTATGCAGATGCTGGTCACTGAAATGAGGAACAAAGGAGGGAAATTTGCGTGTGAAAGAGGCCACATGTGAGAGAATAGAGAGAGCAAAATGACAGCTTTGCTTGGCAGAACGTGACCATGCACAGCATTGGGAGACACAGTCTGATGAAGCATTTTTTCCAATTTGTAAATATATTTATAACAAAGAAACATTATACTTTTTTTTTCTTTTTTTTTTTTTTTGAGACAGAGTCTTGCTCTGTCACCCAGGCTGGAGTGCAGTGGCGTGATCTTGGCTCAGGGCAACCTCCGCCTCCTGGGTTCAAGCGATTCTCCTGGCTCAGCTTCCCGAGTAGCTGGGACTGCAGGTGCGCACCACCATGCCCAGCTAATTTTTTGTATTTTTTAGTAGAGACGGGGTTTCACCATATTGGCCAGGCTGATCTCGAACTCCTGACCTCAAGTGATCTGCCTGCCTCGGCCTCTGAAAGTGCTGGGATTACAGGCGTGAGCCACTGCATCTGGACTACTTTTTTTTTTGAGAGGGAATCTCACTCTGTCACCCAGGCTGGAGTGCAGTAGCAGGATCACTGCAACCTCCACCTCCTGGGTGCAAGCGATTCTCCTGCCTCAGCCTTCCCAAGTAGCTGGGATTACAGGCACCTGCCACCATGCCTGGCTAATTTTTGTATTTTTAATAGAGACAGGGTTTCACTATGTTGGCCAGGCTGGTCTTGCACTCTTGACCTCAGGTGATTTGCCTGCTTCAGCCTCCCAAAGTGCTGGGATTACAGGCATGAGCCACCGTGCCTGGTCAGAAATTTATTATTATAAAAACACAAAGAGATATATACTTAGCATATTACATTACATTGGGATTATTTTAGGTTGTCCCAAAGGTGTAGTCATTTGATTCAGAGGCATAGCCTGCTTCTGACATGTTGGTTGTTTAAAATGTGGCCTGTTCTGACCAAGAAGTTGGACAGTATTGGTTTTGATGACTATCTTGCCACTTATTTTTTACAATGTGGTAATTTTTACATCCAGATAGTTTTTCATCTTTTTTTCTTTTTTTGAATCAGAGTCTGGCCCTGTTGCCCAGGCTGGAGTGCAGTGGTGCAATCTCGGCTCACTGCAACCTCCATCTCCCGGGTTCAAGAAATTCTCCTGCCTCAGCCTCCCGAGTAGCTGGGACTACAGGCGCCCGCCAGCACACCCGGCTATTTTTTTTTAGTTTTAGTAGAGATGGGGTTTCACCATGTTAGCCAGGATGGTCTCGAACTCCTGACCTTGTAATCCGCCCACCTCAGCCTCCCTAAGTGCTGGGATTACAGGCGTCAGCCACTGCGCTGGCCTAGTTTTTCATCTTTTTAAAGCACATTTCCGCTGATATAATTTGACTGGATAGGTGAAAAGATATCCATTTTGCAAAGTAGATTTTTTATATTTAATGATCAAAATCTTTATCTTTTAAAAACAATTTTTATAAAATAGCCACAAAATTTCATACCCTTTAACTTATTTACTTAATTCCACTTCTAGAAATCTATATTTAGAAAATAATTAAGTCGGGCGTGGTGGCTCACGCCTGTAATCCCAGAGGTCAGGAATTTGAGACCAGCCTGGCCAAAAATGGCGAAACCTCGTCTCTGCTAAAAGTACAAAAATTAGCCAGGCATGGTGGCGCCCACCTGTAATCCCAGCTACTTGGGAGGCTGAAGCAGGAGAATCACTTGAACCCAGGAGGTGGAGGTTGCAGTGAGCTGGGATTGCACCACTGCACTCGAGCCTGGGCAACAGTGAGACTCTGTCTCAAAAAAAAGAAAGAAAATAATTAGAGATGCTGCCAAAGATTTAGGTTCAAGAATGTTTATTACAGTGTCGCTTATATTAATATTAGCAAAGAACTGGAAATAGTCTAAATGTCCAATAAAATAGAGAAATGATTCAGTAAATTATGATTTATTCATAAGTTGAGATGGGCTGTTGTATGGTCATTAAAATACTGCCTATTAAACTATTATACTTCCTCCAGTTTATTCTCCACACTGCAGTCAAGTGACCTTTGAAAAAGTACATTGTGGCCAGACATGGTGGCTCACACTTGTAATCCCAGCACTTTGGAAAGCCAAGATGGGAGGATCGCTTAAGGCCAGGAGTTCCAGACCAGCCTGGGCAACATAGTGAGACCCCCATCTTTATAAAACATTTAAAAATTAGCTGGGTATGGTGGCATGTGCATGTAGCTACTCGGGAGGCTGAGGTAGAGGATTGCTTTAGCCCAGGAGTTTAAGGCTGCAGTGAGCTATGATTGTGCCACTGCACTCCAGCCTGGGCAACAGAGTGGGACTCTTGTGTCTTAAAACTATAAAAATAGAGAGCCGGGCATGGTGGCTCATGCCTGTAATCTTAACACTTTGGGAGGCTGAGGCGGGCAGATCACTTGAGGTCAGGAGTTCGAGATCGGCCTGGCTAATATAGTGAAACTCCGTCTCTATCAAAAAAAAAAAAACAAAAAAAGAAAAAAAAAATTAGCTGGGCGCGGTCACATGTGCCTGTAATCCCAGCTACTTAAGAGGCTGAGGCAGGAGAATTGCTTGAACCCAGGAGTCCAAGGTTGCAGTGAGCTGAGATCATGCCACTGCACTCCAGCCTGGGTGACAGAGTGAGACCCTGTCTCAAAAAAAAAAAAAAAAAAAAAAAAAAAAAAAAATATATATATATATATATATATATATATAAATAGTCCAGGCGTGGTGACTAATGCTTGTAATCCCACCACTTTGGAAGGCCAAGGCAGGTGGATGGCTTCAGCCCAGAAGTTCGAGACCAGCCTGGGCAACATGGAAAAACCCTGTCTCTACAAAAAAAAATACAAAAATTAGCTGGACGTGGTGGTGTGCACCTGTAATCCCAGCTACTTGGGAGGCTGAGGTGGGAGGATTGCTTGAGCTGGGGAGGTGGAGGTTGCAGTGAGCCAGGATGGCGCCACTGTACTGCAGCCTGGGCGATAGAGCCAGACCTTGCCCCCACCCCCCCAAAAAAGAAAGAAAGAAAGAAAAATATGAAAATAAAATAAATTTTAAAAGTACATTGGATCATTTCACTCCCCCTTAAAATCTTTTCTTGGCTTCTCATTGTAGTCACTGTAAGTTCCTGACCTCCAAGGCTCTCTGGCCTCATCCCTTCACTCTGGTCTCCAGTCCTTCCACTCCTGTCCACTGGCCTGCCCCTCAGGTGCTGTAATTCTCTAGGCCCTTTCCTCCTTGGGATCTTTGCATATGCTATTCCTCGTGCTTGAACCATCTTCCCCCAGCTCTTCATCTGGCTAATTCCTGCTTGTTCTTGAGGTCTTCATCTCATTGTCACTTTAAGAGAGGGATTTCCTGACCTCTCTACCCAAAGGAGGGGCCTCAGATATATTCTGTCATTGTGGTCTATGCTTCTTTGTAACGTATATCACATTTTAAAATCACGTTCATTTGTGTGGTTCTTTAATTCCCAGATCCCCTCTGGACTTGGTCTGTTTCCTTTCTTTTCTGGAGGAGTTCCTCAAGTTTCTTCTCTATCCCTTCAATTGAGGTTTTCATTTCTGTTGCCATATTTTAAATCTCCAAGAGTCTGTCTTGTTCCATGAAAGGTTTTACACACACACACACACACACACACACACACACACACACATTTTATATATATACACATATATAAAACCTTTCATGGAACAAGACAGACATATATATGTGTATATATATGTGTATATATAGGTATATATGTATATATATGTGTATATATATGTATATATGTGTATATATGTATATATGTGTATATATCTAAAACCTTTCATACATACATATATATAAAAGGTGGCTCACGTTCACCTGTATTAAACTGTAAGTTCCCTCAGGGTAAGGACTGTGCTTTTTTCATCCCATGAGTGGTAAGTGGTAGATTTCTGACTAACAAAATTACCAGACATGAAGTATGAGGGCAAAAAAAAGTTAAAGGAAAAATTAGGAATATGGACAAAAATGTGATTCATGGATAGTCTTCAAAGATTAACAGTGTTGTCTTGCCCAGAATTTAATAGAGAAAAAAAAATGGACTTGCAGAAAAACTTGAGGCCCTTCAAGCTGTCATCATATCAGAGGTGATAAGACCCAGTGAACTGTTTGAGAAATTGGGTAATTGTCACTAGGTAAAGGAAAAGGATTGAAAATTAGATAAGGGTTAGTCCCACAAAAGAAATTTTAAAACTGGGCTGGGCGCGGTGGCTTACACCTGTAATCCCAACACTTTGGGAGGCTGAGGCGGGTGAATCACGATATCAGGAGTTTGAGACCAACCTGACCAACATGGTGAAACCCCGTCTCTACTAAAAATACAAAAATTAGCCGAGTGTGGTGGCAGGCACCTGTAATCCCAGCTACTTGGGAGGCTGAGGCAGGAGAATCGCTTGAACCTGGGAGCAGGAGGTTGTAGTGAGCTGAGATCGCACCACTGCACTCCAGCCTGGGCGACAGAGTGAGACTCTGTCTCAAAAAAAAAAAAAAAAAAAAAAGGAAATTGCAAAACTGAAGTAAAATGAAACAAAATATGACACGTATAAGGGCAATATTTCTGGCCAAGATGCAACAAAATTCATTTCAGAAGTCCAAAGTTCAAATACACATCTACCCTTGCTGCCTCTCTTGTAGATTAGGGCATGACCCTATAAGATTAGAGAACAGGAGAGGAGACAACAGGAAACAAGCAAAAAAAGACCAGAAGCTGAAAAGCAGATAATAGGAAGTAAATGGCAGCAGAACCAAGAAAACATAATCCTGTTCAGGTGGTAGAGAAAGCAAGAATTCCCAGGAATCAACTGGTGGCACCAGGTATCTCTTGATACAAGAGTGAAGTGGAACTAAAACGAAGAACTGCTAACCTCCAGATCTCATACTCTACAAAATGTAATGACTACCCCTCTACCATTCTGGCAGAATTATTCTTAGGAGAGAGTAAAACACTCTCAAGAGAGAATAAAACAGAGAGGTCTCTGACTGGAGAAGGCTAGCAACATAGTATCCCGGTTAAGGGTGGGGTACTATGATGAGTGATGAGGGAGATTAAGTGAACAACTGCATACTTGGATGCTAGGACACCCCCCATCCCCCCCTCACCCCACCGCCACCTGCTGCGGGCTATTACCTTTCTGCCCTCCTATTTATCTTCCAGAATGTAGGTAAATTTCACCAATTTCTCCACTAAAATTCTTTTTGTTTTCCAGGATCCAATTCGGTATTCCACAATGTAATTTAGTTGTAAAGTCTTCTTAGTCTTCTATAATCTTCTGACAGTTCCTCAGTCTTTCCTTGTCTTTCATGAGTCCACTGAGGGTTTTAAATCCCCCACTCTTACATAGAAGCAGACAACCATGGATTTCCAGATATCTGAGAACGCCTCTAATATAAAAGACAAATACCAAACAAACAAAAGAAAGAAGCCAGGCGCAGTGGCTCATACCTGTAATCCCAGCACTCTGGGAGGCTGAGGTGGGAGGATCACTTGAGACGAGGAGTTCAAGACCAGCTTGGGCAACACAGTGAGAACCCATCTCTACAGAATATTTAAAAATTAGCTGGGTGTGGTGATGGATGTCTGTAGTCCTATCTATGAAAGAGTGTGAGATAGGAGGATCACTTGAGCTGCCACTGCATTGTACTCCAGCCTAGGTTAGAAAGAAAGAAAAAGAATTCAGAGACTACACAGAGAAGAAATTTTCTAGAAAACTATTAATAATATACTCAAGAAAAATTTTCCAACCGCAAAACAAGAATAGAATACTATTTTTAAAAACTTTCATGGGGCTGGGCATGGTGGCTCATGCCTGTAATTCCAGTACTTTGGGAGGTGGAGGCGGGAGGATTGTTTGAACTCAGGAGTTCAAAACCAGCCTGGGCAACATAGAGAGACCCCTCTGTCTATTGTATATATATAAAATATATACATATTATATATTTCCAAGGAGGAAAGGGCCTAGAGACTATATATATGTATATAATCTCCAAGAGGCCAGGTGCAGCGGCCTCTTCCGTCAAGCCTTAGCACCTATAAACTTTATAAAACCTACTCTCTGTGAATTGTGCATGCCACTAATCTTCATCTAGCAATACATTTCTGCTCATTCTTTAAAATTCATCTCAAGTACCATTTGATTTAGACGAGCCACCTCTTGGTTCCAGTGGCTTCCTGATCATACCTCTAGTGCTATATTGTAACCATCACTTAATTAGTTCATGATTTTTTCTCTTCTAGACTATAAGTTACTTGAACATATGGATTTGAGTCAGTAGGTATAGGTGAGACATGGGAATCTGCATGTTCAACAAATTCCTCCTGGCATTCTAGGGCTCCAATCTCAGGTATGTTTGTTTCTTTTTTTTAGACAAGAGTCTTGCTCTGTCTCCAGGCTGGAGTGCAGTGGCGCAATCTTGGCTTGTCGCAACCTCCCGGGTTCAAGCAATTTGCCTGCCTCAGCCTCCCAGGTAGCTGGGACTACAGGCGCACGCCATCATGCCCGGCTAATTTTTATGTTTTTAGTAGAGATGGGGTGTCACCATGTTGGCCAGGATGGTCTTGATTTACTGACCTCATGATCCACCCGCCTCAGCCTCCCAAAGTGCTGGGATTACAGGCGTGAGCCACCGCGCCCGGCCTAACCTCAGTTTTAAGTGGTTTTTAAAATCTACTTCAACTCTGAAATATCAAGGCTTTTCCTCCCTGCAATTTAACTGGTATTGGGGAGGGCAGGTAAAGCTTTCGGGTAGTTGATTAAAAACAACAACAAAAAAAGCAGGGGCCGTCTTCTTTCGTGCCCACAATAAGAGCTTATACTGAAATGTAGAGTAAGGTAGATAAGTAGAAATAAGATAAATACCCTTATTTCATTTAACAGTGTTTGCACAATGTGTCCAATTTTTATTCACTAGTTCTAAAACTATTGAGGGCTTACTATATGCCAGACACTGTTCTAGTCATTGGGAGTACATCAACACAGACAAAACCCCCTACCCTATAGGAGTTTGCATTGGTAGGCAATAAGCAAATAAAATAAGTAAAGCAAAGTATTTTAGAAGGTGATAAGTATTGTGGAGAAAATAGAACATTTAGGGGAGCTTTCTTTTATTTGTCAGTGTTTAGTAATAAATTACTAGAGAGAGTAATTTTTAAAAATTTGAGCTATTTAAATAAGCCATACTTTAAAAGGCAGGATTTAACCTACATCTAATCAGAAGAGAACTTGGGATTTGCAAAATTCAGGTCTGGTTTCCTGTTATAAAGTTGACAGTAAATGGCTTTCCCATTATGTCAATAGGAATGAAATAATTTAGTGGCTCAGGGAATTGCTTCCAAGGAGTCAAAAGTAAATTGTGTTTATATAATTTTTTTTACTACTATTAAAAAAAGCCACAAACCAGAAAAAAATTGTTTTGTACTTGTCTACAAGGCAGAGTTAATTTTATCATTAAAAAAAATCCTATACTCTAAAACCTCTTCTATTATCTCCTCACTTCTTCGTTTTAATTTTTTGTTTGCATTTTCACGTTTAGGTAAAAAGATATTGGTCCTTTTAGGATATATGGGGATAGAATTATATGAGGAAGCACAGGACTCCTGGTATGGAATGAGGAAGCTGGAGATTTGAGCTTAACCTCTCTGGGGTGCTTAGAACTAAGTAAGAGAAGCAGTCTGTTTCTGCAGGGAAAATCACTTCTCCATCTTTACTCTCAAATAACTTACTTAATCAAATGGTCTAATGTTTCATTGTAAAGAGTCTTAAAAGTCAAAATTAATGTCACCTGCAGAGTAAGCTAAACGAGTGATGAGCTTTGTTTTGCACAGCAGTTGAAACTGATTTTCAAAGTCCCACCAAACAGTAAAAGACTTTTCTTGCATTTCTGAAAAACTAGAACTGTGTGGTGATTCTGAAGACTGTCAGTTCCTGTGGGGTGTTTACACAAAGGTACTTTTAAATGAAGAGTCATTTTTAGAGCAATTAGAGAAAAGGCTAGACAGAGAAGAGCGGCTCAGGGGCTTGGCAGGTCGGGGTTAAGGTTTATTGACAGGACAGGGTCAGGCGTCTGCTTAGCCACCACTGCCCCGAGTACCTGCCCTCCGGATACACCCAAGACCTCCCTGGCCTTGGCTCCCTGCCATAGGCCAAACTCCCATGCAGAATGAGGAGAGGGGAAAGGAGGAAGAGGAGAGCAAGTTCTGCTGGTTCAGTATTGAACTGCAAGTATGAAAATGTTTGTGTATATTTTTCTGGCCCAGATGTTGTGTTAACATTAGGAAGAAGAAACTTTAAAACAAAGAATTGTCTGTTCTTTCAACTTTGTAGTTTGCAGTTTGCATCCTGAAGAAAGAAATTGCCTAGCTAAAGTAGTCTTTTAATTTCATTTTTTAGTTTTGAGTTACAGGTTTCTGGCAAGCTCCCTGACCACTACTGTTACCTGGTGGCGCCTATATTTCATCAAATTTAGACATGCAGACTACCTGGATCCAGGCCCAGATGAACTGTTGTGACTGATAAACATGATCCCACCCTGCCCCCATGCAGACTCCTGCTTTTCCCTTTAAGGGAATCTAAGACGTTGAGTCGCCGGATCCCCAAGGGAGTTAAAGAAAAATGTCTTCCGGCATTCACATTTGCTCTGTGGTTTTCTTGAGCTGCATCTCTGCTTGCCCAGAGGCTGGTGAACATCCCAGCAGTGCCCTGACTTCTCCAGTGTTGGTAACTAATGGAGGGAAATTTTTTTGTTTTTAATAAAAACAAGCAGAGACATCTATCAGTACTCACAGACAAGGCAGAATTTGTTTGACATCTTGTGATTGCTGCGTACAAAAAGAATGACAGCAGTTATTAAACAAATAAGAAAAAAGATGCTGTTTATTGATAGTTTTCAGATATCCTAAGAATATTTTTAGTAATCTTACTGCCTTTGCTTGCATAAGTAAAAAAAGTGGAATTGTTAATTTTTGCAATCTGGGTTGTATTAGATTTGGAATCATAATAAAAATGTAAATATTAAGCAAATATGTGCTGTTTAGCTATGTAACATACTCGTGGCTTTTCCTTTTATTAGAATTTATTTCAAATACTTGTTTTTAAGATGGTAAGGTGAGTATTAGCAGTCAATGCAATTAAACTTAATTGCATTTTCTATATGAATTGTTTTTGTCTCTTTTTAAATGTATTTATGGTTCTTTTTCTCCATACTAGCTATTCCTATAGGTTTGTCTTGACAAAAAATTATAAACAATTGTTTGTTTGCAGCCGGGTGTGGTGGCTTAACATCTGTAATCCCAGCACTTTGGGAGGCCGAGGCGGGCTGATCACCTGAGGTCGGGAGTTCGAGATCAGCCTGACCAACATGGAGAAACCTCGTCTCTACTAAAAATACAAAAAATTAGCTGGGCGTGGTGGCACATGCCTGTAATTCCAGCTACTCAGGAGGCTGAGGCAGGAGAATCGCTTGAACCCAGGAGGCGGAGGTTGCAGTGAGCCGAGATCATGCCACTGTACTCCTGCCTGGGCAACAAAAGCAAAACTCCATCTCAAAAAAAAATTGTTTGTTTGCTTGGAAACAGTCTAAAGTCACAAATTTGATTTCAGTTTCATTTGGAAATTTTAAAATGAAAAATTGGGACACAGTCAAGTGGGAAAAGCATTTAAACTGTTCAGTGACTGAACTTTCGTTTTCATATCATGTTAATGTGATCTAAAAAAAATAATTTCTTCCTGGCCTAAGTTACCCCACTTGAGGATTGTTACAGTGATTTCAATCCCTGACCTCACCAGATGATGTGGAAGCATCAGGCCACATATTTTTATAAGTACTGGGTGAGGGCAAAGATTTGCTTGGAAGGGAGGAGAGAACCTCCTGGAAGGTTGATAATAGTTTGTATCTTGATAGATGTTGGTTACACCAGTACATGCATTCGTCAGGACTCATCGAATGGTACCTTAAGATTCGTGCATATCATGGTATGTAAATTTTACCTCAAGACACCAACAAAGGAACTTATAAACATATATTAAAATCTAGCATGTTGAAGTATTATAGGAGAGTGAATACTGATCTTGATCTTTAAAACTTACTTTGAAATGCACCCCCCAAAAAAGATGGGTGAATGGATAGTGAAACGTTTAGAAATGTGGTAAAGAGTAAGTATAGTAAAATGTTAATTGTCAAATCTAGGTAGTGTGAGTGTTCACTGTAAAATTCTTTTTTTTTTTTTTTGAGACAGAGTCTTGCTCTGTCACCCAGGCTGGAGTGCAGTGGTGTGATCTCAGCTCACTGCAAGCTCTGCCTCCTGGGTTCACGCCATTCCCCCACCTCAGCCTCCCAAGTAGCTGGGACTACAGGCGCCCGCCACCATGCCCGGCTAATTTTTGATTTTGTATTTTTAGTAGAGATGGGGTTTCACTGTGTTAGCCAGGATAGTCTCGATCTCCTGACCTCGTGATCCGCTCACCTTGGCCTCCCAAAGTGCTGGGATTACAGGCATGAGCCACTGTGCCTGGCCTCATTGTAAAATTCTTTCAGCTTTTTTGTGTGTTTGACATAAAATGTTGTGTTCCATAAAATGTTGGGAAAAAATGAAGGTACTGGTTTTTGCTCATTTAAGGATCTGTGTACCTCCATTTTAAATCCCCTCCTTAATTCAAAATCAGACCACTTGGATTAATACCAAAAAGGGGAAGGGTGTGAAAGTAGCCATTTAGATAAACAGAAAAATGTACCCACCTCATACTTTCTCTAGTTACCTGCTGAAAGACCATTACCAAGCATGGAGGCCCAGGGGGTCTTTACAAACAAGAATAATTCTGAGAAACCCAAACCACAAAGCCCAACCAATGACCTCTCCAGGCAGATAAAAATTGGCCTCCAGAACCCTAACCATGAAAAAAGACATGACTTCCTACATGTAATCTTCACCAATGGCAAGCAGGTAACCCCCCGCTATATACCTTATACTAAGACCCTATGGAATGAAAATGGGCTTTTGGTTTTCAGCCAGATCCCCAGGATTTGGCCATGAACACCTCCACTTTATCAGAATGCCAAGCTATTTCTTACATCCTGATAAAGCCTCCTTTTTAAAGACATATAGATTGTGTGTGTGTGTGTGTGTGTATGTGTGTGTGTGTGTGTGTGTGTGTGTTTTAATCTTGAAGGGTCAAAAGGATAAGTTGGTTCTGGTAGAATTTGAGCCAAACTTTTAAAAGCTAATGATAATATATTTTTTAATTAGGCCATATTGCTCAGTTGATGCTTGAGCAGTAAACTAGAAAATCAAGATTTGAGAGGCTCAGTGATCTCAATTCCTTCAGGGTCTCATAGTGAACTCTGGCCAGTTAATTTATCTCCAAACTTTGATTTTCTCATTTGGAAAGTGAGAATAAAGCCTGACACAAAATGGCTAGCCCATGGTTCTCAAACTTTTGTGTATGTAGGAATCATTGGTTAAGAAACCTTGGTGTGTGTAAACATAATTTAGTTTATTAAAATAGAGATTCCTGGGTTTCAAACTGGGTTTTCTCAATCAATTGTTCTAGGGCAGAGCCCAGAAATCTACATTTTAATAAGCACCTAGTGTGATACTGATGCAATTATTGGACCACAGGATATATGGTGTAGATGTGTTTTGATGGGTATTATATTAACTGAGAATTTTTTTAGCTTTTTGTTATGGAAAAAAATTATTATTATTATTATTTTGAGACAAGATCTCACTCTGTGGCCCAGGCTTTAGTGCAGTGGCACGATCAAGGCTCACTGCAGCCTTAACCTCCAGGGCTCAATCAATCCACCCACCTCAGCCTCCCGAGTAGCTGGGACTACAGGCAAGTGCCACCATACCTGGATAATTTTTGTATTTTTTTGTAGAGATGGGGTATCGCCATGTTTCCCAGGCTGGTTTTGAACTCCTAGGTTCAAGCGTTCTGCCCACCTCAGCCTCCCAGGGCTTCCAAAGTGCTGGGATTACAGGTATGCACCATGTTATGGAAAATTTTAAATATGCATTAGAGAGAATAATGGTATGAGTCTCCGTGTAAGAGATAGAAGCATCACCCAACATCCATCAGATTTTTTTTTAAGAGTCTGGGTCGCTTCGTTGCCCAGGCTGGAGTGCAGTGACACAGTCAGCTCAGTGCATCCTCAAACTCCTGGACTCAGCGTGCCTGTCTTCACAACTTCAATAATCTTGATTCACTTTGACATTCACCCTTTCCTGCATCCCTCCTCCAAGGTGATATGTAGAAGCAATTGTTAGATATATCATTACATCTAGTAAATATTTTAGTAGGCATCTCTAAAATATTAAAATATAAGTACTCTTTTAAAGATATATGATGGTTAAACCTTACCAAATTTGAGAGTAATTTCTTAGTATCAAATATGTCAGTGTCTAGATTTCCTTGATTATCTTTTTGTTTGTTTGTTTCAGTTGTTTTGTTAGAATTAGGAACCAAACATATTCCCATGTTGCATTTGGCTGATATGTCTCTAATCGTTTATTCTATAGGTTCCTTCTCTCTCTGTTTTTCCCCTTGTGGTTTATTTGTTGATGAAACCAGGTCATTTGTTCTATAGATTTTCTCAGTCTAGATTTCGCTTTTTGGGTCCCCATGATGTCATTTACCTTTTTTTCCCCTCCTGTTTCCTGCAAATTGGTGGTTCCATCACTTCCCTCCTGAAGTATGATCAGATTCAAGTTCAGTTTTCTGGCAGGAATACATCACAGATAGCGTCTTGTACATCTTTCAGGAGGCACACGTTTGGTTGTCTCACTTTTTGTCATGTTAGCACCATTGATGGTCATGGCTGAGATCCTTTATTTCCTTAGGGAGTGCCCCATATTTTAACTTAGTGAGTAGCTCATGAATCTCTCCCCTTCATCATGGAGTTTTTTCTTTTCTAAGTTAGACTTCTAGAGCTTTCACAGATTTCACAGTGAGCCCATAGCGCCTACCTAGACATTCTGTTTGCTGTAGAAACCAGAAAGGCTTTCTTGCTCTCATATCTTAGTTTAATTTACACAATATAGTAATCTTTAAAATTTGTCCTAGTGTCCCCCAAATTTGTTTCTATTTCTGAGACATGTTAAGATGAATGGATGACAGAACAGAAAGTTGAGGGCTCTAGAGTGAAATCACAGTTGCAGGTAAGTTGACGAGGTGCAAGTACAAATAAGACACAGTCACCAATTCTGTACCAACATCCTATCCAGAGGGAAGGGGATAAATTTTTATTATCTATATTTACTTATTTTGTCCTGACAGCAAACATAAGGTTTCTGGGTCAGGAGCAGACAATTATGACTTAGAGCATTAACTAAGTCAATTCCCCATACCCCAGTACCCTCCTTCAGGGCAACATAAAGGGGTCTAGAAGAAGAGGGCCTGGAAGAATGAGGTTGGATATGCCAAGATTACTCCAGGAACTGAGAATGAATGGAATCATTCCTTTATTCAGCAAACCCACTGATTGTCGGCTGTATGCCAGACACTAGGGTAGATGATAAATACTAGAAAACTCCCAACCTAACACACAAAACCATATGCCTCTGTGTCTAGAGTTAGGCATCAGGTGTCATCTTGTGCTTATAGGTAAATCACATACCCACAGTTACATGCCCTGCAATGACATTTTGGTCAACAATGGACTGCATATATGATGGCAGGTCCCATAAGAATATAATGCTGTTTTTACAGTACCTTTTCCATGTTTAGATACACAAATACTTACCATTGTGTTCCAGTTGCTGACCATATTCAGTACACTGACATGCTATACAGGTTTGTAGGCTAGGAGCAATAGGCTATCCCATATAGCATAGGGATGTAGTAGGTTATACCATCTAGGTTTGTGTAAGTACCCTTTAGGATGTTCTCACAATCACAGATCACCTAATGATGCATTTCTCAGAATGTATCCCTGTTGTTAAGTGATGCATGACTGTATTTGTGTGTGTAAGGATATGAGTGTGTATGTGTATTTATGATTTTGTACGTGTACACGTGTGTATGTCATATTCCCTTCTGACTTAACATTATAATTTCTGAAAATCTTTTTCTTCATTTTTAATTTGTCTTCAGTTGTCGTTTGTGCTAAAGTTTGCATGAAGTTTTCTTATCCCTCACTTTCCAGGTAGCAGTGGAATTTACTCTCTACCTTCTGTTGTGTCTGCTCATGTGACAAGTTCTTTTGGTAAGAAAGTAAAGTCTAAACTATAAAAGTTAAACTCTGAAAGAAGAAAATTCAGGTGCAAAGTGACAAGGATTTCACCAGACTGAAGAGACCTAAAGAAAGGGAGGGCCAGATCCCTCAGCTGCAAGTCTCTTGATTTGGTGAGGGATTAAATGTGCTAGGTCCCCTGGTACTAGTGGGGGCTGGGGTTTCAGACCTCACGGAGTTGCCATTCTGATGGGGAAACAATAGACGCAATTAGACAAACAAACATGATAACTTCAAAATGAGAAACGTGCGTTTAGGGAAATAAACAAAGCTAAGAGGGTGCCAGTAACTAGGGGGGACCACTTTAGAGAGAGAGGTCCCAGAAGGCCTGCTGATGAAGTGACATTTGAGCTGAGGCTCAAAGGCCATGAATGGGCCAGTGATGTGAGAACTTGGTGAAAGAGCAAATGCAGAGCCCAGAAAGGGCTTAGTGTCTCTGAGGAGCAGAAAGGGGGCCCCTGTGGCTGGCGGCAGTGAGTGACAGGAGGGTGGAGTGCCAGGAGGCCAGAGGGAGGTGGGGTCAGACCATTGCAGGCCCTCAAGGCCATAATGGGAAGTTGAAACTATGTTCAAAAAGCAGTGGATAAACATTGAAGAGTTTGAAGCAGGAAAACTTAGTAATTATTCTCACCTAGACTTTTTTTCCTACACATGAGCAGACTTCTGTATGTGTGTCTGTGTGTGTGTGTGTGTGTGTGTGTGTGTGTGTGTGTGTGTGTGTGTTTTCTTAGTGGTAACATGCTGTGTATATAATATGCAACTTGTTTTTCATTTACCAATAATATCTTGGTCATCTCTGAAAGGAAGACTTATAAAGAAAAATAAGGTTTGCCACGAACTATATAACAAATTTAGACATGCAAAAATGTGAAGCTGTGATGGAAAATTAGTTTCTTAGGAATAAAAAAGGAAGGAGAGTGCTTGTTTTTAATGTCTGTTATACCTATGAATTCCCTGTAATAATTTAAGGACATTAAAAATGTATTCTAACTTGATTCTTGATTTTCTCATAAACTTGCCATGATTAGTATGTTACTTTAATTATGTATTTATTGTTAAAGCATCTTTACACACCATTTTTAGTCTTCTAAAATATAGCAGAGACTGAACAAAGTAGGAAAATAGAAGAATAAGAATTCAGTAGACATGCATGGTCAAACCATAACAAACCCAAAGATACTGAGACTCTAGAGAGAATGTGTCACCTTTCAAAGTACTGCTTACTATTGCCAGTAGTTATAAATGTACTTATTAGCTGGGCATGGTGGTTTACGCCTGTAATCCCAGCGCTTTGGGAGGCTGAGGCAGGAGGATTGCTTATCTCTGGAGTTTGAGACCAGCCTGAGCAACTAGGTGAAAACCTGTCTCTACTAAAAATAGAAAAATTAGCCAGGCCTAGTGGCATGTGCCTGTGGTAGTGCACGCCTGTGGTCCCAGCTACTTTGAAGGCTGAGGTGGGAGAATTGCTTGAACCCAGGAGGCTGAGTTTGCAGTAAGCTGAGATCACACCACTGCACTCCAGCATAAGGGATAGAGCCAAACCTTGTCTCAAAGAAGAAGTACTTATTTATTTGCTTTTAAAATATACTTTTGTGAAAAGATATACCTAAAATCCCCAGCACATTTTAGTTCTTGCCCATTTACAAAATAGTATATAGACAAAAGCCTGACTAAGAGAAACTGTCAATATTACAGCGAAACAGAGATAGGGATTGTTTTCTGGTCTTAGAGTTACCATAACATGAGCATCTGTGGTGAGCAAATATTTTCCAGAAAAGCAGGTGAATGAAAAAACTATAGCCCACAAAAATAACCGCCTCAAACTCATGATCCCTAATGTAGGCTCATTTTTAAGTCTACATTTTATTTTTATTTCTACTTACTTACTTATTTATTTTTTGAGACAAAGTCTCACTCTGTTGCCCAGGCTAGAGTGCAGTGGCACCATCTCAGCTCACTGCAACCTCCATCTCCCAGGTTCAAGCAATTCTAATGCCTCAGCTTCCCTAGTAGCTGGGATTTACAGGCATGCGCCACCACATCCAGCTAATTTTTGTATTTTTAGTAGAGATGGGGTTTCACTATGTTGGCCAGGCTGGTCTCAAACTCCTGACTTCAAGTGATCCACCCGCCTGGGCCTCCCAAGGTGCTGGGATTACAGACATGAGCCGCTGCACCCGGCCTTTAAGCCTACATTTTATTTTATTTTATTTATTTATTTATTTATTTTTTTTGAGGCAGAGTTTCACTCTTGTTGCCCAGGCTAGAGTGCAATGGTGTGATCTCGGCTCACCACAACCTCCACCTCCTGGGTTCAAGCAATTCTCCTGCCTCAGACTCCTGAGTAGCTGGGATTACAGGCATGTGCCACCATGCCTGGCTAATTTTTTTTTATTTTTATTAGAGACGGGGTTTCTTTATGTTGGTCAGGCTGGTCTCGAACTCCCGATCTCAGGTGATCTGCCCACCTCGGCCTCCCAAAATACTGGGATTACAGGCGTGAGCCACCACACCTGGCGTAAGCCTACATTTTTAAAAAAATGTATTGCAGAGGTGGAAATGAACTAAAGTAGGCATGAAGTAAGGGTCGAGGTCCAAGGGTGTGTGACACAACATTGCTACCATGTTATAGAGGGATATTCTAAACAAAATCTCTGCATTCTTACCCCATGAACCCTATCTTCAGCCTTTACCACTGGAAAGCATCTTTCTAAATTCAAATCCTTGATTTGCTTCTGGTTTTGTAATAAAGTCATGAGCAATAGGAATGCAGCCAGCAATTACGTTTCTGCTTTTGTCTTAAATTGGAGACCATGGAGCGACATCAATTCGCAGGAAATATACTGTTTCTTAAGAAAGTCGTTCATTTAACTTTCTTCTGTACTTAAAATTGGAAATATATTTAGCTTCTCTAAATATTTAGTTGTATGTGAACCAGTTGTTAAAGAATGTCTTAATTCTACAGTTAAGCTCACTCACATGTATGTATGTCTCATACATTAAAAATGTCATCCTGCTGTGTAGTTTTAAGAAATTACTTTTCAGAAGTAAAGACTTTAGGTATGATAATGATAATTTAGGAAATGATAATTTAGGAAAATTTTCTCAAGTACTCATCATTTTTAAAAATTCATAATTCAGAAATATTTTATTGGGAGACTAAAGACATTTATAGTATTTTCCCCCAGAGTGTCATATTTTTATAAAACAGGTTATTATTAACAAATGATATAATTTGAAATAATTGGAAAGGTCCACTGGCCCTAAAATATGTCCCCTACAGCCTTCTTGGAACATAAAATGTCCAACTACGTATTAGAATTTTCTTTGGGTTAATGGAGTATCCTCATAAAGGCTTAGTTTAATAGGAGTTATCACTCTGGGTTTTGCCAAGATTGCTTTAGAAGGAATGAGTTGGGTATGTTTTCAGTAGTCTTGGTGAAGACCCCAGAGGAAGAGCAGAGGGTAGGGATCTTGGTGGGAGAGAAGGGAGACACTCCCCTACCAGGGGCTCCAAAAGAGGGCTTTAGGTTGTAGGAAAGGTGGGCAAAGCCTGTCCTTTATAATAATAAAATGTTTAGTTAGAGGGGAGCCATATTTAAAACTATAGCACTAGACTTATCTCAGTTGTAAAATGGATATTATATAATAAGATGGAGGAAGTCATTCACATATGCTTTCTCTCTCTTTTTGAGCACAATACCAAAGTGTTTCCAGAATAATTTGGCACCTTCACTTCCTGCACAGACTTGGAGTAGAGTCCAGAAAACAGTCTAGTTGAATTCTCAGATGGGTTTTTGGCAAGAATACAAAGTAGCTTTATACAGCTCATCTCTGATGCTTTTCACTGAGTGTCTGAAAGAAAAGGGAGGATTTGAGGACCTGATTTAAACAAGGAAGTAACCCAGTGACTTAAAGAGGAGTGTTGTGGAATTCGAATCCCAAAATAAAGCCCTACGTCGTTGACTTTTCAGCCATGGGAATAACCAGTTGCTTCATTGTGTGTTTTGTCAAAGTGCCTCAGCCATTTGGTCGGCCTGATGGTTACCTGCTGCCTCTATTCATAGTTTCTGCGTCCTTTCTTGTTGCCCGGCTGGTCAAACATGTGTAACGGTGCCCTGGGGCACCAAGCATGCCCTCGGGGAGCTAAATGCTGCCAGATGTAGGGAGCAAGGGTTGATTCACATAGCCATAATTTCAATAGCTAATTTTACCTGTTTTCTTTTGGTTTTGGGTTTCCTTCTTAAAGAAAAACCCATTTGGAGTTGAGTTTTTCCCCCTTTAAATTGCAGTCTTATCTTGTTACCTCTAATCTCCCAGCCTCATCCCACTCCCGAAATAAAAGTGTGAGAAGAAAAGAATAGAAAAGATACGTGATTTATTAAGTCTGAGAGATTAATAGTTTTACTTTATGATAAAATCAGTAAAATGTTTCTGTTTTACTGGATTCTGATTAGTATTCTTATTTCAAAGTGAAATTATGTTTCACTTGACTCAACCTTCCCTGTAGAAATCATTTAGATAGAAATAGATCATCTTCTAGATAGATACTTTATGTAATCTCTGATTAGGAACACTGAATTTGTTGTTGAAAGCCCTATATTTTTTAACTCACTCTTGAAAACTGGTTAAGTAGAAGGAAAGAATCAAGCCCTTAACTTGATATATCCTGTATGGAACTGAACCTCAGGATGACCAAATATTTGATGAAAGAAAGTTTCTCTTTTTAGAAGTATTTCTGCCAACAAATTAAGAAGGTCTGAGAGAATATCACCATTTGGCAAACCCCTCGTGAAATAATGAATCTATCTACTGGTCATCAATGGTTGCTAACATCACAAAAAGAGCCACAGCTATCAGAGCACACCACTGTCCATTAAATATTCTTGCCAAAAAAATTGAACTTGAGGCCGGGCGTGGTGGCTCACGCCTGTAATCCCAACACGTTGGGAGGCCGAGGCAGGTGGATCACGAGGTCAGGCGATGGAGACCATCCTGGATAACACGGTGAAACCCCATCTCTACTAAAAATAAAAATTAGCTGAGCCTGGTGGCGGGCGTCTGTAGTCCCAGCTACTCGGGAGGCTGAGGCAGGAGAATGGCGTGAACCCGGGAGGTGGAGCTTGCAGCGAGCTGAGATCACACCACTGCACTCCAGCCTGGGCGACAGAGCAAGACTCCATCTCTAAATAAATAAATAAATAAATAAATAAAAATAAAAAAATCAAACTTGAATCAGAACAAATCCCTAGATTTAATATGTCTACAGGAAATACAAAGGACAGAGAAACATATTAATTGACACCACCAAGATACAACTGGTAAGTTACAGAATGTGAGAAGTGCTAGGGACAAATTCATTTTCTTAACAAATAATTTACGAGAAAGAAAAAAGGGAGGAATTCATTAAAACTGGCATAAGAGACATAGCAATCAAGTACAATAGACCTTATTTGGCTCCTATTTTAATAATACATTTGTTTAATTTTTTTTTTTTTTGAGACGGAATCTCACTCTGTCACCCAGGCCAGAGTGCAGTGGTGCGATCTTGGCTCACTGCAACCTCCGCCTCCCGAGTTCAAGCAATTCTCCTGCCTCAGCTTCCCAAGTAACTGGGATTACAGGTGCCTGCCACCATGCCCGGGCTAATTTTTTTGTATTTTTAGAGAGGCAAGGTTTCACTACGTTGGCCAGGCTGGTTTCGAATTCCTGACCTCAAGTGATGTGCCTGTCTCGGCCTCCCAAAGTGCAGGGATTACAGGTGTGAGCCACCGGGCCCAGCCCATTTGTTTAATTTAAAAAAGAATATATGACAAAAGGAGAATATCTAAAGGCTGATAAAATATTTGATGGTACTAAGGAACTATTGTTAATTTCTAAAGGTATAATATTATATTATTAAACCATTAAAAAGAGTTCTCATCACAGGCCGGGTATGGTGGCTCACGGCCTCCAGCACTTTGGGAGGCCGAGGCGGGGGGGATCACGAGGTCAGGGATTTGGGACCAGCCTGGCCAACATGGTGAAACCCTGTCTCAACTAAAAATACAAAACATTAGCTGGCAGTGGTGGTGCGTGCCTGTAATCCCGGCTACTCGGGAGGCTGAGGTAGGAAAATCACTTGAACCCAGGAGGCGGAGGTTGCGGCGAGTGGAGATCATGCCATTGTACTCCAGTCTGGGCAACAGAGCAAGACTTCATCTCAAAAAAAAAAAAAAAAAAAAAAGTCCTCATCTTTTGGATGTACACATGGAAATATTTACAGTTGAAATTATATGATATCTGAATAGGCTTCAAAATTATCCAGTGGGAAGGGATGATGGTTATGGATGAAACAAGATTGGCCATCTATTGGCCATTGTTGAAGCTGAATGATAGATACATGGGGATTTGTTACACTAATCTACTTTTGTGTGTTTTTGAAATTTTCTATAATAAAAAGTTTTTAAAATAGGCTTAGGTAAATCCCAGATTTGCCACTTGTAAATTTGTGATCGTGGACAAATTCATTAGCCTCCATAAGTCTCAGTTTTTGTGTGTGTGTGTGTGTGTGTGTGTGTTATTTCTGGTTAGGGCGTTGCCTATAAAATAGGTACAAGGTTATTTTCCCAGTTTACCACCTGGTCCGGGTTGTTGTGCCAAACTTAATAATATGTATGATGTTACTTTGTAAATTGCCACAAATATATCAACTGTTTTATTATTATGAAGTTCCTGAAAGGATCCAGGTTTTCTGCTTAGAAAATTTAGTAGCTTTTTCTGCTTCAACAAGCAGTATGGCTGTCTACATAGATTATATCAACTAAAAAGCTCTGGAATAAGAATATAATTATGTATCCAACAAGGGTTTTATCAATTAGTTTGTAGTAATAGAGTAATTATAAGACTTCATTTTAAAAAATTTGCAAATATAAATTTCTCATGGCCTAGTAAATTAAATGTCGTGTAGACAACTGTGCTATTAATGTTTTCCCTGTATAGTAAGAATTGTGAATTATTTCTGATTTCTTATTTTTCTTGATTGGAAGAAATTGCTTGAATTTAACACATCAATAAAGATTTTAAATTTATTCCTTCAAAATATAGAGAAACCCTGATTGTTAGAATTTTTTTCTTTTTTTTTTTTTTGTTGTTTTATTTTCTAATTCTGGCCTCATTTCTTCCTTCCTAACTCCCAGCATTTTATTGTGAAATATGTAGAGAGAAACGTGTAAAAGAAATATACAATTTAATGAATGATTATGAAGCAAATACCTATGTAACTACTGTACTGTGTTTTTTTTTTGTTTGTTTGTTTGTTTGTTTGTTTTGAGACGGAGTCTCGCCCTGTCACCCAGGCTGGAGTGCAGTGGCCCGATCTCAGCTCACTGCAAGCTCCGCCTCCCGGGTTCACGCCATTCTCCTGCCTCAGCCTCCCGAGTAGCTGGGACTGCAGGCGCCGGCCACCACGCCCGGCTAACTTTTTGTATTTTTAGTAGAGATGGGGTTTCACCGTATTAGCCAGGATGGTCTCCATCTCCTGACCTCGTGATCCTACCGCCTCCGCCTCCCAAAGTGCTGGGATTACAGGTGTGAGCCACCACCCCCGGCCTACTGTACTGTGTTTTAAGAAAAATCAGAATATCACCAGCACCTCAGAAAACCTCTGCATGCTTCTTCCCAGTCCAAATCTCTTTCATCCCCTGGGTAGCCACTATCCTGACTTTAGTAGTATTCACTTTCTTGCTTACCTTTATAGTTTTACCACTTGTGTATAGATTCCTAAACAGTGTGATTTTGTTTGTTTGTTTGTTTTGAGACAGGGTCTTCTTTGTCACCCAGGCTGGAATGCAGTGGCATGATCACAGCTCACTGCATCCTCAACCTACCAGGCTCAAGTGATCCTCCCACCTCCACCTCCCAAGTAGCTGGGACCACAGATGCATGCCATCATGCCTGGCTAATTTTTAATTTTTTTTAGAGACAGAGTCTTCCTATGTTGCCCAGGCTGATCTCGAATGCTTGGGCTCAAGCAGTCCTCCCACCTCTGTCTCCCAAAGTGCTAAGATTACAGGTGTGAGAGACCACACTGGGACTGATTTTTATATTTTAAGGATCCATTTATATTGTATCTGTAGTGAATTCATTTTTTTTGCTGTATAGTCTTCTGTTTTAAGAATTTATGGCTGGGCACGATGGTTCATGCCTGTAATGCCAGCACTTTGGGAGGCCAAGGTGGGCGGATCACTAGGTCAGGAGATCAAGACCATCCTGGCTAACACGGTGAAACCCCGTCTCTACTAAAAATACAAAAAGTTAGCTGGGCGTGGTGGCGGGCGCCTGTAGTCCCAGCTACTTGGGAGGCTGAGGTAGGAGAATGGCGTGAACCCGGGAGGCGGAGCTTGCAGAGAGCCGAGATCGCGCCATTGCACTCCAGCCTAGGCGACAGAGCGAGACTCTGTCTCAAGAAAAAAAAAAAAAAGAATTTACTGTAATTTATTCTGTAGTTGATGGACATCTGGGTTGTTTCCACCTTTTTCTTTTTTTTTTTGTCGCCCAGGCTGAAGTGCAGTGGTGTGATCTTGGCTCAATGCAAGCTCCGCCTTCCGGGTTCACGCCATTCTCCTGCCTCAACCTCCCAAGTAGCAGGGACTACAGGCGCCTGCCACCACGCCCGGCTAATTTTTTGTATTTTTAGTAGAGACGGGGTTTCACAGTGTTAGCCAGGATGGTCTCGATCTCCTGACCTCGTGATCCGCCTGTCTCGGCCTCCCAAAGTGCCGAGATTACAGGCGTGAGCCACCGCACCCGGCCCGTTTCCACCTTTTTCTATTACAAACAGTCTGAGTATGTCTTTTGGATGCACTTCTGTATGCATTTCTTTTATGTGTATACCTAGGATTGAATTAGTGACTTCATAATTGACAGGCAGTTTTCCAAGGTGTTTGTACCAGTTGACTCTCCAGCAGTATTCGAGAGATCTTGTTTTCCCACATCTTCAACCTGTACTTGGCATTGTCAGACTTTTAAATGCTTTATTTTAAAATATTATTAGTAAAACAACATAGATAAGTTTACTGTTGTCTATTACTTACATGTACTTGTAATGTTAAAGTCTAGGTTTTATGGCTGGGGGCGGTGGCTCACGCCTGTAATTCCAGCACTTTGGTAGGCCAAGGTGGGCGGATCACTTGAGGTCGGGAGTTCAAGACCAGCCTGACCAACATGGAGAAACCCTGTCTCTACTAAAAATACAAAAACATTAGCTGGGCATGGTGGTGCATACCTATAATCCCAGCTGCTTGGGAGGCTGAGACAGGAGAATCGCTTGAACCCGGGAGGCGGAGGTTGCTGTAAGCCAAAATCGTGCCGTTGCACTCCAGCCTGGGCAACAAGAGGGAAACTCCATCTCAAGAAAAAAAAAAAAGTCTAGGTTTTACTTGGGGTGTGTGTGTGTGTGTGTGTGTGAATATTTCAGAGGTACAGAGACTCTTTCTGGTCATCGATATCTACTTGCTAAATTACGTCTTCCTACCTAACAACTGCTACGCTAGAGACCAGAAAAAAAAATAGTAGAGCTTTAAAAAAGGAGAGAGCATTTTTGTACCTTTTTCACTTGTTGTGATATTAAACCTATGAGTGATAGCTCAATTTATCAATTGCTACATGCCAGGCGCTGTGCTAATGAACTCTTAAGACATGTAAACTCATTTAATCTTTACAACAGTTTTTTATTTCCCCATTTTTTAACAGATGAAGAAACTGAGGCATTAAATGGTTAAGTAACTTGCTGAAGATTGTAAGCTAGTAAATCATAGAGCCAGAGCTGAAGCTCAACAGTTGAGCTTCACTGGTTCCATCTGGGTTCTGAACACTTAATATCTAGACCTCCTACCCCGTTGGTGAGTTCTGGTTAGTGACATTAGTCCTCCAGAGCCACCATGTTTTGTCTCCGGGTGGCTGTATTTGAGCTTGACATGTTGTTTCTGGTGCTAACAGTTAGGAAAGCAGGGTTGCTTGAACTTCAAGACAGAGACTTACTTCCTTTCACTTGTTGTAGAAGTTGAAAGAAGCTGAAGCAGCATGAGAATCCTGGCTCTGGGGCTGGTACAGCTATTACAGGAAGGGACAGGACTTGGCCCTCTCTTCTCCTCTCTAGATTTTCCTGGGGGTACTCAGCCTTCATCTTCTGCCACTTAGGGTTTGAGTGGAAATGGCCGAGAATATGTGGTAGGAAGCAGTAAAGTGGACGTTTCAATTTCCTTAATTGTCCAAAAATGTGGAATATGTTATCCTTTAGAAACCATGTTGTAAATGGCAGCAACATTCCCAGGCCAGCTCAAAAAACCTATAATGTGGCCAAAATATATGCTTACAGCTGTATTGTTTCCTAGTTTTTTGTTTTCATTGCAATTGTGTAGCATTTTATTTGTCTTATGAGCTACTGGGCTAGCTGAGAACTTAGCCACATTGTTTATGTCGGAAAATGCATTCCAAACAGCTAAGACCACGTATTTATCTTAGTGTAGAGCTAACTATCCATAGCTTAGATCATTGACTACCTGAACACTCTGCTCCAAGTAAACTGAACAATACCATCACCAATTTTTTGACGGTAAAGAGAAAAACATCTCAGTAAGATAGAGAAACATTTTCTATGGATTTACTGTGACCGAGACCAAATTTTAATTAGCTAGGATATTTTTTAAATTGTAGCATTATATAAATGCATCTGTTTTTCATTTGTTACATATGGGTTTTTATTTACCCACCCTCCTAAAACATTGAAATATATTCATGTAGCTACCTGAACCACTTGTAGATCTTCAGACTTGTGCGGCAAAAGGAATGATAATTATAATCTGCTTCAGGCTACAGGCTAGAATAATTCAAAAGGAAATGTGCATTACTAATGCAGCAGAGCTCATAAATTCTCAATGTCAGTTTGCCATTTATGCAGTCAGTCTGGTTGGCCAGAGGCAAAAAGACTAGGGTTACATAATATTTATGAGGTCTGAAGTTAGCCATCACCAAAGCCAAATATTGCCAGTGTTTCAGATTACTCATTAAAGTCAGCATCATCTAGTCACGCCAATGGAGTTGGGAGCAGGGTGGATTTGGTAGTGATGAAACATTAGTTATAAGTATAAATTCTGTCCATTTTAGTCCACTACTACCTCCTTTACAGGATTTATAGCCTTCCTATTTTATATATTATCCCTGAGATGCCTACCTAAGGAGGGTTCCCATACCATTCTGCAAAAATCTACTTGCCACCTAAGGTTTCATAACACAAAAGTGGGAATGGGACTTTCTTTGCTCTGCATTGTTTCTCCAACCCTCTTCATGTTTAACTCCTGAGAAGACCTCCTGCCTCTCTGTACATCATCACAATGGCCAAGTCTCAAAAACTTTTAGATCCCAGCTAGCACCTTATGTCATACTGTGCTCAGAAATAATTAAGTGTCCAGACCCATACTCTTGTGCTCTAGTGCACTTCAGGAGTTTGACTTGTATAGGGTAATGAGCAGCTACAACTCCAGGCCTCAGGGTTACTCCCAGGAAACACTGTGGCTGTGAACTCCAAATTAAAAATGTGTGTACAATTGTACAGTTTCCAACATCAAGAAGCACTAGTCCCTGGGGCTGTTCATAACGGCTTTCTTTGTATTTTCACAAAAGAACAGTCCCAGAATTAAAATAACCCTTTCATTTCCTACACTTCACTTCTTAGAAGTCGTCAGGAAAGATGAGTTTTGGTATGATTGTTGATGGTGAGTTTTTTGTGGGGTGGGGGTGATGGAGCAAATACCTTTAAAACTTTTTTTTTTTTTTTTTGAGATGAACTCTCGCTCTATCGCCCAGGCTGGAGTGCAGGGGCTCCATCTCAGCTCACTGCAACCTCCGCCTCCCGGGTTCTAAAGCAATTCTCCTGCCTCAGCCTCCTGAGTAGCTGGGATTACAGGCACCCACCACCAGTAATTAGTCCCAGCTAATTTTTGTATTTTTAGTAGAGGCGGGATTTCGCCATGTTGGCCAGGCTGGTCTCGAACTCCTGACCTCGTGATCTGCCCACCTTGGCCTCTCAGAGTGCTGGGATTACAGGCGTGAGCCACTGCACCCAGCCAAAACTTTTTTTTGTTTTATTTTGTTTTGAGACAGAGTCTCGCCCTGTCGCCCAGGCTGGAGTGCAACTGCCTGCCGGGTTCAAGCGATTCTTCTGCCTCAGCCTCCTGAGTAGCTGGGATTACAGGCGCTCGCCATCACGCCCGGCTAATTTTTGTATTTTCAGTAGAGACGGGGTTTCACCATGTTGGCCAGGCTGGTCTCGAACTCCTGACCTCGTGATCCACCCACCTCAGCCTCCCAAAGTGCTGGGATTACAGGCGTGAGCCACTGCGCCCGGCCGAAAACTTTTTATTAGTGAGAAAAGTTTTAAGGATTTCAGTTAAACCAGGATTATAGCTTAACTTTAAGGATTTCATTTTACCCCTTTCTCTACTTTTACCTATATTTAAAAATATTAAAAAGTCCGTTTTTTTCTGTCAACTATATGGCATAGTGATTTTCTTCCAGACTAGTAGGTGGAGTCGGAAGTAGTATTCTGAAACATGTGGAGGAAACTACATCAGGAGAGCATTTGCCCCAAGGGAGCAATAGTGAGAGGATTCCCCACACTCTCTTCGAAAATTTTAAGACATACTGCTACTCCCAGGGGGAGATCAAACTAAATACACAGCGTTTTAGGAACTAGAGATATACAGAGTCCTTGTTCAGCGGAGTGGCAGATTTGTTTTAAGTTTATTTTTGTTCAAAGTTTTTGATCTCTTTTACTGTTACAAGACTAGGGGAAATATCGTAATCGATTGTGCTATTTGCTTTGATACATTCAGGCCCTCTTTTTTTTTTTTTTTTTTTTTGAGATGGAGTCTCACTCTCTCTCCCAGGTTAGAGTGCAGTGGCACAACCTCGGCTCACTGCAGCCTCTGCCTCCCGGGTTCAAGCAATTTTCCTGCCTCAGCCTCCTGAGTAGCTGGGATTACAGGCGCACACCACCACGCGCGGCTAACTTGTGTATTTTTAGTAGAGACGCCCGGCTAACTTGTGTATTTTTAGTTTCACCATGATGGCCAGGATGGTCTCAATCTCTTGACCTTGTGATCCGCCCGCCTCGGCCTCCCAAAGTGCTGGGATTACAGGCGTGAGCCACCACACCTGGCCCATTCAGGCCCTCTTGTACCTGATAGCCACAGTATACAAGAACTGAAGGAGTCTGAGGCCCCCCAAAAGCATATTATATAAAGCAAAAACAAACAAACAAAAAACCCACTTAAGGCTGGATGCGGTGGCTCATTCCTGTAATCGCAGCACTTGGGGAGGACGAGGTGGGTGGACCATGAGGTCAGGAGTTCAAGACCAGCCTGGCCAATATGGTGAATCCCTGTCTCTACTAAAAATACAAAAATTAGCTGGGCGTGGTGGTGTGCACCTATAGTCCCAGCTACGTGGGAGGCTGAGGCATAAGAATCGCTTGAATCCAGGAGGCGGAGGTTTCAGTGAGCCGATATCGTGCCACTGCACTCCAGCCTGGGTGACAGCGCAAGACTCTGTATCAAAAAAAAAAAAAAGAATCCACTTAAATGCTCATCATTGGTTAAATAAGGTGTTGTGTGACCTGTCCGTAAAGGAATTCATGAAACAACTAAAAAAGATCATGTAGATCTATATTGTTTTGTTAGAGACAGGACCCCTAACACTGAAGACTGGTTGCCCCCAACTCAAGCCAGATACATAATTCAAAACCAAACAAAACTAAGCTTTAAATAAGTAAATACAGAATAAGAATATAAAAACGTTTTAATTTCCTTACTCTAATTATTTTATATATATATATATATATATATATATATATATATTTCATCCCCCAAAAGAAATGACCTAATATATATATAGTTTTTTTTTTTTTTAAGATGGCGTCTTACTCTGTTTCCCAGGCTGGAGTGCAGTGATGCCATGTCAACTCACTGCAACCTCCGCCTCCCATATTCAAGCAATTCTCCTGCCTCAGCCTCCCCAGTAGCTGGGATTACAGGTGCCCACCACTATGCCCAGCTAATTTTTGTATTTTTAGTAGAGATGGGGTTTCACCATGTTAGCCAGGCTTGTCTTGAACTCCTGCCCACAAGTGATCTACCTGCCTCGGCCTTCCAAAGTGCTGGGATTACAGGCATAAGCCACTGTGCCTGGCCAGAAATATATATTTTTTCACTTTAAAAAATATATGTATATATACATATGTATGTGTATATATGTACATATATACATATGTATGTGTACATGTGTACATATATACATATGTATGTGTACATGTGTACATATACATATGTATGTGTACACGTGTACACGTGTACATATATACATATGTATGTGTACACGTGTACACGTGTACATATATACATATGTATGTGTACACGTGTACACGTGTACATATATACATATGTATGTGTACACGTGTACACGTGTACATATATACATATGTATGTGTACACGTGTACATGTGTACGTATACATATATGTGTGTGTACATGTGTACATATATACATATGTGTGTATGTGTACATGTGTACACATATACATGTGTGCGTATGTGTACACATATACATGTGTGCGTATGTGTACACATATACATGTGTGCGTATGTACACATATACATGTGTGTGTATATGTACATATATGTGTATATGTGTAAATATATACATATATGTGTATGTGTACATATGTATACATATATGCGTACATGTGTATACACGTATGCGTACCTGTGTATATATATGCATGCATGTGCATGCATATGTGTGCGTGTGTACACATATATGTGTACGTGTACACATATATGTGTATATGTGTACACGTGTACACATATATGTGTATATATATACGTGTGTGTGTACATATATTTACATATATATATATTTTTTTTTTTAGGATACAGGATCTCACTTTGTTCCCCAGGCTGGTCTCAAACTCCTGAGCTCAAGCAATCTTCCCATCTCAGCCTCCCAAGTAGCTGGGATTATAGGCACCCAGCTATGAGAAATATTTTAAATATCAGATCCTTACAAAAAAAATAGTATTCTTTTATTGGAACTTCACTTGGTTTGCACTTCCAACACCTGTTAGTTTATCCAGTCAGGCACTCCATATTTGGAAGGAAGGAGGATAATATTTGGGGAGAGGAAAGGTAAGAGAGGGGTGAGTTGGCAGTGATGGAAAGCAAAGTCAACCCCACTTGGTCACGACTCACTAACCTCCAATGGAGAAAGTGTGTGAGTCTGCATGTATGTTTGATTTTTGATACATGAAAGAACATAAAAATATGACATTAGACTATTATACTTCAATTTTTAAAACTTAAGTTTTTTAAAGAAAAGTACGTTTAATGTTTTACAAAAATTATTGTATTTATATTTAATAGCATTATATTCCATTATAAAAATTTCATTTATTGTAGCAACCAAGGAGTTAAAAAAAACCAAGGATAGACAAATAACAAGAAATGTACAAGGCCTGTATGGAGAAAACATTAGATCTCCAGTGATGGACATTTAAGAACACTGGAGGAAATGTGAAGGCATTTCTTATCTTAAAGAAGACGTTAAATATTTTAGAGTCAACTGGACATGGTGGCTCACGCCTGTAATTCCAGCACTGTGGGAGACCAAGGCAGGAGGATCACTTGAATCCAGGAGTTTGAGACTAGCCTGGGCAACATAGTGAGACCCTGTCTCTGCAAAATAAAAAAAAATATTGGGCATGGTGGCATGTGCCTGTAGTCCCAGCTACTTGGGAGGCTGAGGCAGGAGGATTGCTTGAGCCCAGGAAGTTAAAACTGCAGTGGGCTATGATTGCACCACTGCACTTCGTCTGGGTGACAGAGCAAGACCCTGTCCCCCCAAAAAATTATAGTCATATTGTCCTTAGATTAATCCATAAATTCAATGTAAACCCAATTTTGTGGCCAAAAACACTTTAAATATGGTGGAAATACAAAAAGCAAGCTGAAAAGATAGTTGAAACAATGTAGTACACACATTTAATATTTGTAATTCACAGAATACTCTTAAAAATAAGTCAGGTGGGCTGGGCACGGTGGCTCACACCTGTAATCTCAGCACTTTGGGAGGCCGAGGCAGGTGGATCACGAGGTCATGAGATCAAGACCATCCTGGCAAACATGGTGAAACCCTGTCTCTCTTAAAAATACAAAAAAAAAAAAAAAAAACCCAAAACAAACAAAAAACCTAGCTGGGCGTGGTGGCATGCACCTGTAATCCCAGCTACTTAGGAGGCTGAGGCAGGAGAATCGCTTGAACCTGGGAGGCAGAGGTGGCAGTGAGCCGAGATCGTGCCACTGCACTCCAGCTTGGTGATAGAGCGAGACTCTGTCTAAAAAATAAAAATAAAATAAGTCAGGTGAAAAGGCTGGGCGTGGTGGCTCACGCCTATAATCCCAGCAATTTGGGAAGCCGAGGAGGGTGGATCACTTGAAGTCAGGAGTTCGAGACCAGCCTGGTCAACATGGCGAAACCCCATTTCTACTTAAAATACAAAATTAGCTGGTCGTGGTGGCACATGCCTGTAATCCCAGTTACTTGGGAAGCTGAGGCAGGAGAATTCTTGAACCTGGATGATGGAGGTCATGCCACTGCACTCCAGCCTGGGTGACAGAACGAGACTTTATCTCAAAAAAAATAAATAAATAAATAAATCAGGTGAAAAACAACCCAAGAGACCTAATAGGAGACTTCACAAAAGAGGATACAGAAATAAACAAAGGAAAATATCTTTAACCTCAGGAGTATCTGAAGAAAAATAAGTAAAAGTGAGATACAGTTTTTCATTTATCAGACTAACAGATTTTAACATTAAACTGTTGGTAAAGGTATAGGAAATAGGCATCATTAGGAAGACAAGTTGCAGTGTTTGTGAACAGTTTTGCAAATATGTTAAAGTTTGCATATTTCTTAACCCACAAATACTACTTTTACACATTTAAACTAAAAAGAAGTCATCACTTGTGCAACTGTACTTGTAAAAAACACATTATATAAAGCAAAAAAATCAAACCAAAACAAAAAGGACCTACCAAAATGCTCATCATTGTTTAAATAAGGTACTATGTGATCCCTTCGTATAAGGGAATGCTCCAAAACCACTAAAAAGGATCCTATATAAGCCGGGCGCGGTGGCTCACCCCTGTAATCCCAGCACTTTGAGAGGCCGAGGCGGGCAGATCACTTGAGGTTGGGAGTTCAAGACCAGCCTGACCAACATGGAGAAACCCCGTCTCTACTAAAAAATATAAAATTAGCCGGGCGTGGTGGCGCACGCCTCTAATCCCAGCTACTCGGTAGGCTGAGGCAGGAGAATCACTTGAGCCTGGGAGGTGGAGGTTGCGGTGAGCCGAGATTGTGCCATTGCACTCCAGCCTGGGCAACAAGAGTGAAACTCCGTCTCAGGAAAAAAAAAAAAAAAAAAAGGATCATTCATATATATGTGTGTGTGTGTGTGTGTGTGTGTGTGTGTGTATATATATGTGTATATATGTATATATGTGTGTATATATGTATATATGTGTATGTATATGTATATATGTGTGTGTGTGTGTGTGTGTATATATATATATATATATATATATATATATATATATATATATATATGACGGAATTCTTTAGTGGTGATTTGTGAGATTTTGGTGCACCTATGCTGCTGTGTATTTTTATACATACGATAAGCCTGACCCTACTCTTGGGGCTCAGCCTCATTTAGAGCTGGGCTTCCCAAATTTTATTTTTTTTTTCTGGAATCAAAAAAGTTTCAAAGATTGCCATGTAATGCTTTTTTTTTTTTTTAATTACACTTTGGTATCTCAGAAATCTCTTTCTGTGAGTGTTTACTTCGATTCTGAAAATAGAGCTAGGGTCTTGAAGTGGTTTCTGAATAAATGATGAAACATATGTTCAAAGTCTGTAACTCTTCCTTCTCCTTAACCACATCCTAGATAATCCACTGATGGAAAGTGTCATTTGTGTGAATAGATTCTCTAGTTTTAGTTTTCAAGGACTTTTTTTTTCATTTTAGCTGTCTGGATGATTAATGTGACTAGGAAAATACTGTTGACCCATTTAAATCATGTCAGACAACATCCATTGCTCATCTACGTAATGAAATACACACTGAACATTACAGCTTAAGTGTGGGAGGCAGTGAACTACAAAATAATGTTTTAGTCATTTAGATTATGAAATAAAATATAAGATATTAGGACTAACTATAGCATTAAATATTAAACTCTTCAAATGGTAATTGTCAGTAAAAACAACTTTTAAACCAAAACAACTAGTAGCATTTCTGCTTTAGTAGTTAATTAGAGGAAGTGGAGGTGGTTGCATGCAACAGTATTAATTTAAGAAAAGTCTTTATGTGAAAGTGTCTGTTAATATTACTTGACTATTATGGGACTTACTGTAAATAGTTGAGTTTTTCAGTTAATCAGTGGTTGTGAAATAATAGTTTTCTGACAAAATTAGAAAAATTTGTTTGACATTTTTATCATAGTTTCATTAAACGGTCTCCGCATAATTTTAAAGATAACTAATTTATAGCTGAAACTATTTCAATCAATGATCTAATAACAAAGATAAGCTTTGACAGCTTTAAAAATATTTAAATTTTGTAAGGACATCATTTGCACAGTGATTAAATAAATGCAAAATTTAAAGGTACTGAATTTAGGCTATCAGGTTTCCATGGTTACACCTTTCCAAGTTATTTTGTGTATTGTGTAAATAGGTCTGTGAGTCACTGGTAATTATTTGTTTTTTTGTTTGTTCTGTTGGTAATTCTGTGTTTAGCTGAATTTAATACAGTTCACACGGCGTGCTTTGGTTTATGTATATTTTAGTGTTTGTGATTGACAGTGATTGAGCATTTCTTATGGAGTGCTTGCCTTTTTTGTCATAAGTGATGTATGTTGGTAGTGCTTGAAATGTAAATAAGTTCTTCCTGTATCACTGTTTAATAAACAGGAATTTTTATGCAAAGAAGACTTCTTGATACATTTAAACAATAAGGTTTGTTGAGCTCTGAAATATTTCTGCTAAACAGATTGTGCACCAAGACAAATAGGTTTAAATTCTTACAAACTGAGGTTACCAAGGGCAACGTTAAAGTTTATGGCTAAGCACAGCATTGACTGAATGGTATTTAGTAACAGAATAAAAAAGGCTGAATTCTTTTTTTTTTTTGAGACAGGGTCTCACTTTGTTGCCCAGGCTGGAATGCAGTGGTGCAATCTCCACTCACTACAGCCTCAGCCTCCTGGGCTCAAGTCATCCTCCCACCTCAGTCTTCTGAGTAGCTGGGACTACAGGAGCATGCCACCACGCCTGGCTAATTTTTGTATTTTTCATAGAGATGCGGTTTCACCATGTTGCCCCAGGCTGGCCTTGAACTCCTGAGCTCAAAGGATCCGCACACCTCGGCCTCCCAAAGTGCTCAGATTATAGGCGTGAGCCACTGCGCTCAGCCAAAATAGCAGCATTCTGATCTAACTCTTAAAATTGTTTGTGATAGTACACTTTACAGGGAATGTCTTCAATGCAAAGTAGAATCTTCCTATAACATAATTTCTCCCATCCCACCCTTTGCACAAATTTAAGAAGTATTCTTATATGTTTAGAAAGATATGATTCTTGAAAAAAGCCAGGGCCTTTTATGGATGTAGGAAGGAATTTTCCTTAGACCTCACCATTAACCATCAGCATACTAGCAAGGGCCCAGCAGGAACTCTCAGGAAAACATCAAAATTAGGCTGTCCGTAATTCATCCTACTGAGTGTGAGCCTTCTCTCATACACTACAATCATGAAATGCTGTCCAGTTTGTAAAGTGTTTCTACATCTGCAGTCTCATTTGGGGTTCAGGTTGGCCCTGTGATGGAGTGAGGAGAGGCCCAGTGCTTTGGATGGTGTCACTTTTAAGTAGCAGCTCTGGGACCCAACCTAGGATCTCATGATTACTTTGTGAATTACTTGCTTTGTGGATTATCCAAGGCACATTTTAAAATTCAGGCTGGTTTCTACCTACTGATTAGTCCATTTTAGAGTGACCTCCTCCCACAGTCAGGTAACCAATGATAGTAATTACCATTTATTGAGTGCTTACCTTATGCCACTTTCGATATATCATGTCATACAATTATCATAGCAACCCTGTGAGGAAGGTATTATTATCCACATTAACAAATGAAGAAACTAAGGCTTAAAGAATTTAACTAACTTGTTTAAGTAAACCAATAGTACTCAGAGAAGGAAAACCAATTTAAACAAGAGCTCAAGTGAATATAAATAGGAAGGCATATCTTTTGGAGGAAATTCTCATGGTGCATTCACAAGCAAAATATAAAATTTTAAATTTCACACTGTTTCCTTCTTTTTTACCCCCAAATTGACTATACCTTATTAGGCATTGAAGAGTTGAGGTTTCTTTGTAACACTCCAGTAGAAGCATACTTCAAAAAGTGTCCCATCCCCTCAGACAATAAATATGTTTCAAATGTTTTACACATCAAATATTTTGGTATTGTGGCAATATTAAAAACTTTAAATATGAGATGATGAATTTGTCATTTTACTGTGTGAATAATCTTGGTGTTGGCTAAGGTTTTCAAGTAATGTGTTTTCAGATATGAGAAGCAAGCAGCCTGCTATATACAGATAAAGAGTACATGTTTTTTTGGTGGTTGGGGTGGTTTTAATTTTTAACGTTTTTAAATTTTTATTTTATTTTAACTTTTTTAAGGCAGGGTTTCGCTCTGTTGCCTAGGCTGAAGTGCAGCAGCGCAATCTTGGCTCACTGCAACCTCTGCCTCCTGGGCTCAAACGGTCTTCCCACCCCAACCTCCCAAGTAGCTGGGACTACAGTTGTGTGCCACCATGCCTGGCTAATGTTTGTATTTTTTGTAGAAACAAGGTTTCACCATGTTTCCCAGGCTGGTCTCAAATTCCTGGACTCAAGCGATTCACAGGCCTTAGTCTCCCAAAGTGCTGGGTTTATAGGCGTCAGCCTGGCTTAATTTTTAATCTTTAGTACAAAAAGTAACAGATAGTTGAACATTCATATCCTTAAATATATAAGTATATATATTTAAATAAATGTTTATTTATATTTATGTTTACTTATATACATATATTTACTTATATACATATTTATATTTATGTTTACTTATATACATATACACACACATACACATATATATGGGCCAAATTGTAAGCAGGCATCTATGGAGCTCCCCTTTTAAGCCTGTGCCATTTTAACACTTTGTACTTTTTGAATTAATACCAAAAACTGTCGAGTGAGTATTCATATGGTCAACCAGGTATACCTAGTAGAATTGAGTGTAAAATTATTTGGGCAACATAACTATACCAGTCCAAAAAGCTGCCTTCAGAAAATTTGGAGCTTTTGCTTTTACTAAAGAGGTTACTGTATACTTTCTCTTTATTTTTCTGGTTGAAAATAACTCCTTGATGAGTGATCTTGGCTTCTGTTGTCTTGAATCTGTGTACTCTCAACTGCAGAAGCTTGGAAATATATTGTTTTCCTGAAGCATTAGCTTTCTCATTTTAGGTAGTAATTATTGACCTATCTACCTACCGATTTACCACTCCTATTGACTGGTTACAGGGCAGAGACAAAACTCCTACAGTTGTCAAAATACCACGATAAGATTGATATTCAAATGTTTTCTTTCTATCCCATGCCTTTCACTTAGAGATGTACAGTGAAAATCTTCTCAGGAAGTTTAAGATGTAGGGTTTTTTGTTTTTTGTCTTATTTGTTTTTGATATTGATACTACAATTTTGGTCAAAGCTCTGAGCTATTTCATCCCAATGGTTTGCTTGTGTGGCAATAACTTTCAATGGCCCATTGAAAAGAAAAAAGGAAAGAAAGACATCCAGCAATATACCTAGGGCATGCTGTATCTAGAATTCAGTTGACACTATTGTAATATGAAGACTAAAATCATGCTCTTTTCAAATGCTTTAATGTAATTTAAAAATATATTAAAGCTGTGCTTTTGATCATAGATTATAAGCCCTCATATCTTCTGTTATTGGGCATTTTAATACAAAATAACTAATATTTTAAGTAGTATATGACAGTAGTATTTATGAATAGTCTGGAGGTTTTTTTAAGAATTAAAGAAGGATTTTGTTACTATATCAGTTTTTTTTTAAAAAACTCATGATGTTTTTATATAGACTTTCTCTAAAATTCAGTTCCATGTGTGATTCCTATGAAATTGCTCTTTCTGGTTCTGATTTGTGTGCTTTAATATAAAATCATTCTATTTTCCTCTTCTTTAACCAAAGTGTGTGAGGTAACAGGAATGTTTCTTTTGAGAGACTTTGGAAGGTTGAAATTTGCCAGATGTTCTGTGCTAACCTAGAAGTGTGCATTCCCTGGGTAGCAGGACTGTGTGAAATTCTTTCCTATAACTTTGACAGAGCATTTGGTTTTGGTTCATTTTAGTGTTGTGCTTCTACTCTGATGAGAGCTTGTCTTTTATTCTGTGTTTAAATGATATTAAGGCATCCAGAAAATCTGACAAAGAAAATGATATTTTGATGACATTTTTCACAGGGCTCAACTAGAATGAATTATTACATTTTAACCACGGCCCTAATAAACAGCTTCTTTATTTCCTCTGTAAGGATACAATATTTCTTTGTCCAAGAAGTTGCCTGAGTATATGTATTGTTGAAGTGCTAAAAAGCTGCTTTTCTCTAAACTTTAGCTGAGAGACAATGGGATTTGCCAAGTATATACCATTTCATTGTGACTCAATACTTTATAAAGATGAATTTAAATTTTGAAGTAAACTTTTTTTGTCTCAAATGGAGAAATTCCATGCAATAGCCCTATTGTACAAATTAAACATTTCTATGTAACTTCTACTTATCCACCAAATGATCAGCTTTTAGTTTTATACTTGAGTTCTGACTATAATCTTTGGCACCCTTCCCCCAGCTATAATTCGGCTAGCCTAAAGGAATTTTTTTTCCTAGACTCACAAGCAGGAGCCTATATTATTAAGTAGGAATGTTTATAGATCTGTGTTTCTAGAGTAGGTTGAGGTGTTTTAGTTTCCCAAAAAGAGGGGAATGCTTCTTGTTTTAAATACAGATGCCTGTGTGCTGGTGGTGTACATTAGTGAATAATCACATATTAACAGATTTAGCTTTTGTAAAGAAGCAAAATGAAGTGTTTTCGTAAAACATTTCTGAACTTGTCATTGATGTTATACTCTATCAGTTGCTATTGATAATTTTATTTAAAGGAGGAGGTATATAGTATAGCGCCAACTTCCTGATTAGGCCTTGGGGAAGGTCACGTTTTGCAGTGACCTGGGCACCACTCTTAAATGTTGTTATTATTGGAAGAGGGTACCCTCAGGCTGCTGCCCTTCCTCTCCCCAGAAGCGCTCTGTGACTGACTTTCCAGTTCATCTTTTCTAGAACCAAGACTCCCAGGCTGTAGATGAATTCTGACATCTACAGACCAGTATCCATCTCAACTTCATTTGAGGTGAATTTTATTAGTAGTAGTGACCCAGTCCTACCTTAATATGAGAATGATGCATCCTCATAAAAATTGCAAACTTAGAGCAGTAAACAACTAGGATAAACTTTTATGTTTCAGCATAAAAGTGAGTTATGACTTTTTTGTCATTTAAAATATTGCACACATTTCCTTTTTATTTCTGTGGGATCTTTGTTACTGTTTTAGTGGTCTTAAGTAAAAATAACTTCAAGGACAACACGGTTGGATGTGAAGTAGAATATTTATTTCAGACAAGTATTATGCCCACATATTTTAGATTCAACTATGTGCTTTATTTTCAGCATTAAAGAAAATGAGCTGTTTTCCAACACCTGCATACCAACTGGGCCTGCATCCTCTTTAGAAATGTTGTTTAATAAACACTGTGGCTTTATCATCCAGAGGCTGTTGCCAAATGCTGTTAATTAGGCCAAAAAAATGTTTTTTAAAGGTTGGTGAAACAGATCCACTTTTCTCTCTGTAATGGCATCTTAGCTTGAAATCCAGGAAGCAGTGGTGTATGGTGTCCATATCCACGATTTCCTGCATTGGAGAAAAAGTGTGGAAAGCATCTGGGGAAAAGGAGGCTCTTTACCAGCTTGTTTCCTGTAAGTTCAATTGGAAGACCTTGTCTGTGCAAATAGATTTCAAAATAGAGCCTGCCCTTTGACTGTCTCCATAATTACATGGCTCGCTCTGTATTTTATTTGGCAGCCAGAGCAGTTAACCCCTGGAAGGAAGGGGCTGATGGTATGGCCAGCTTGGCTTCCCAGGCATGTCCATGGGAATGAATAAACCACTGTTTGGAGAAGCCCATAGCTAAAAACACACTAGAATAGTCTGTAACTGAACTGAAACTCTTTTAAAACAAGTTCACTAATGTTTATTATGATCGGTTAAAAAACTTAACTTTGTCCTTATTGTGTAGATTATAGAGCTGTATTAATTGTTTTAAAAATTGGGAATTGGGGGAGTTCCTTGTTGCTTTGATGTAATCAACATCTGTCAACAGATGAATTTGCTTTTGTTTAGTTTCAAGGGCTCTTGTCCTTTAGCTTTGCCCAATCAGTATCTGCTTCAGCCTGGGGCATTCCCTAGTAGTGCATGTGGTTTTTTTTCCCTCAGCAAATGCATAGGTTATTTCTCATGAAATGTGAGCTTCTCTTCTGCTTTATAGTTGCCTTGAGATGGGAAGGAACCTTCAATCTTTCTCATTTATTTTGAAACGTACACCTTAGTACTAGATTATAAAAATCAATAAAAGAGTTATATCAAGTGATGCAGACTATTTAATTTTTCTTTAGCAACATTTGTACAAGTTATGAAACATGTCAAGCAATCAGTGTTTTAGGTCAAGAAATATAAGGCATGGATGCATTTGCAGTGTTCTCATGGACTTGAAGCACACAGCGCTGTAAGAGCCTGTGCTCCTACTCTGAGTAATTGGTTGGAGTTCATGAAGTGTGATCTTTCTGTGGGTCTAAATCAGCACCCCGAAAATATATTCCTATGCTATAGTCCCTTCTGAGCTTACTGTAGGAGGCAACATTTTTAAACAGTTAAAAATGTATCAGATTGCTGTCACAAAGTAAGTTGGGTTTTTTTTCTTGTTAAAGTTAATATATTATTAAGCAAATCATTTGGTTTAAAATTAAAATCATCAATGAATGTAAGAACCATATTTGAAAATGAATTAGCAAAACATTGTTGTTTTTCTCTCTTGGTAATCATAAATCATTTAAATCTGGCAGGCATTCCTCTCTTCATCCAAAATAATTGCCTCCATTTGTAAAATCAATTAGATGTTAACATGCTATAAATAATAGTTTTGTTACTAGACTTTGGCATTTACTGATCATTATGAAAAAATATATTCAGTAAGACATTTTACAGGGTGTCTTTTAAATCACATATTATCTCTGGTTGACATTGTTAGCTAATGTAAAGTAGTGCCAAGCTACATTATTGTGTTGTTTTCTACCCAGATATTTGATACCTCTGCAGTGTAACGTAACTGAGGATTGATGGCACACTGCAGGGTGAAAGTGCTTCCCTGGAAACATACAATGAAAAATATATGTGTTGGTAGTCCAAACTTGAGTACAAATGTACTTTGTTCAGTTTTACAACTGCTTAAAATAATAAGCATTTTAAATGTCTCTTTGAAAGTTCATTCAGACCTCTCCCTTAAAAATACTTATTGACCAAAAGAAAACTCACATTTTCAGGGATAAAATCAGCTTAATTAAGGGTCATTAGTAAAGGTGCACATGAAAACCCAGGGCTCAGTGGGTGAAATGGAAGCATTTCATTATGTGGTATAGGATGCATGAGCAGATAACAATTAAAATGGACCCTGAGTAAGAGGCCAATAAATATAGGGCATGTTGTGTGCAGCAACATTCGTTATTTAAAATGCATTCCTCCTGGCCAGGCACGGTGGCTCATGCCTGTAATCCCAGCACTTTGGGAGGCCGAGGTGGGCGGATCACGAGGTCAGGAGATCGAGACCATCCTGGCCAACATGGTGAAACCCGTCTCTATTAAAAATACAAAAATTAGCTGGACGTGGTGGTGGGTGCCTGTAATCCCAGCTACTCGGGAGGCTGAGGCAGGAAAATGACTTGAACCCGGGAGGCAGAGGTTGCAGTGAGCCGAGATCGTGCTACTGCACTCTAGCCTGGTGACAGAGCAAGAAGACTCTGTCTCAAAATAAATAAATAAATAAATAAATAAAATGCATTCCTCCCTCCATCATACTTGAATTCTATAATCCTACCTTCAGATTTAACCTATAAAGGAAAATAAAATGCAGCTTTTAGAAATGGATGTTATTACTGAATATGAAAATATTTAAAACCATAACCTAGATTTACATTCCAAATACAAATTTTAAATATGAAAAAATGTGCTGCAGGATCCAGAGGACATAGAGCAATTTCAAGAGATGTTCAGACTGCACAGTGTGCTCTTCCATGGAGTGCAGGAAGAAGTTGCCTATAATTTTCAGCGTTCAACTCAGACTAGGTGCTGATAGAATTTTTGTAACACTAAAAATAATTCTTATTATTACCTTTGATAACAGTAACTATTCTAGTATTCATAAAAAATAACATGTAGATTTACTCCCTAAGAAAACCCTATATAGAGTTGCTGTTAGGTCATCAACAGTAGCAATACTACGATCATCTCTTGCAAGATCAAATTAGTATAAAGCAACTCCTCACTGTTCTGGGCTCTCCTACTCCCCTGAGGTTTCTGGTGATTTCCCACTGGTGTCTCTAAAAACATCAGATTAGTCCACTTGCCCCTTGTAGTAATTAGTACACACCTGAGTCTTGTTTCCCCAAATAGCTTTACCAAAACACCGTGTGCAGTGAATCCTGAATGAATGATAGTGTGTGGGAGACGGAGGGACTATTTCTGTCTCTGAAGATGGTCATCATGCATCAAATTTGTTGTAACATTGGTGGTAGCAATTTGGAAATTAGATGTAGTTATAAGGTATCAGCAGTGCTTTTGTCAAGAAATGAATTATATAGGAAATTCAAGAGACCATTTCTACATTGATCTACATTAGTTACTGTAGTTCGGGTATCCTTTCTGTGACCCTGAATATAATAGAGACTGGGGATTTTAATTTTGCTCACTCTGCATTTAGAAAATTTACTACTTATTTGTATTGTGATAAACAAAGTTGAGGGCCCGCCCCTCTTTCTTTGCCAGGCTAGTTGGAGGACCATTATCTTCTAAAGGTACCATGACTTATGCCCATTTCTTCATTTCCCCTGTGAAAACACCAGATTTTATTTCTAATAAAAAGATGGAATCATTTGTAATGAGTAGTTAGTGGAATAAACACAGTATGGCACCTTATTATCCTGTTGCCTTGTGACAACATTTGTAAGGGTGTCTTTCATCAGATTGAAAGAAAAGAATTCGTTTCAAATACAAAAGTGTCTTATGAAAGTGAAATTGCTGAATACAGTGTAGAACCATAATTGTCAACAGATTGGATATGTTCAGGCTGTGTTCCTGACGTTTCGAATTTTACCATCCAGTCATGTGTGGGTGTGTCTGCATCTTTTCGGCAGTGAGGCTGTCATTTGGCAGGACAGGTACCTTGGCAACACTGTTCATCCTAAAAGTGAATGTCTCAAAAGCCTCATCCAGATATCTAGTGGAGGCCTGATGACTTCATGCTTCAAGTTTAAGTACATAGAAAAGATTCCCCCTATAATGACTGTGTACTTGAACTTGATAACACTGATAAAGATGATCTTTTGTGTAATCAACCACATTGAAAAAAATCTTCATGAGTCCTAAAATTGATCAGAGGCTACATCTTCCCATTTCCTGGGATGTAGCATGACAATCAGATGGTGCTGAATGAAGGCACACATTTCAGAGCTGAAGGGACCTCAAAGATTGTGAAGCCCAACTCTCATTTTACTGAGCTTCTGCATCTCACAGGGTAATGTCTTTGAAGTACTCAGCACCGAGCTTGGCACCAGTAAGCTCTTGGTCAGTCAGCATCCACTGTTATTGTTATTGCTCAAGATCACATAGCTCTTAGCAGGACCAGGGGTAGAACTTTCTGTCCAATGCTGTGCCACTTTGGTTATTTTTTCATCATGCATAGCACTGTCTGATGTAATCAAATGCATTTGTTGATTTGCCTATGTCTGCCTCCCACTACAAGGATGTAAGCTCCCTGGGAGTCGGGACCTTGTCACCTCATTCACCACTGAATTCTCTAATCCAGAGCATGGCACATGCAATGAGTTCATTAAGTAGTTGTTGAATGAATGAAGGCATTTAGAGACCCCACAGGTAAACATGTTGAAGAATGGAGAAGGAAAAGGAAAAGAAAGGAGCATTTATGGAGCACCTATTTTTTAAAAGATGGTTTACCTATTTATGTTATCTCAGCAAATGCTCACATCAGCTCGTGGTAGGGAGAGCACTACTACTCCCATTTAATAGTGAAGAAAATGAGTCTCAGAAGTTTTGGTAACTCACACCTGTTTGACCTCCAAGCTCATGCTGTTGTCACTACCATAGTGCCTCCCAACTGGATCATTTCTAAGAATTTTCATGAAAAGTGTCTTCATTCTAAATGCTAACTAGTTACATGATATTTACATTTTTCATGATAAAAAAAACTGACCTTGAAATCTAGTCCCTGAAAGAATACATTATGTAACAAAACACACTAGCGAATAGAACTCATAGAGCCCCTGCACACTGCTGAGAGGCAACTGGAATGGCAGACACAGCCCTGGATTTGGATTTACAGGATTAAGCTTGGGGCCTGGTCATTGATTACCAGACTTGTGAGCCTTAGTTCCTCATCTATAAAGCAGTGATGTTAACAGCTACCTGCCTAATGACAGAGCTGGTAAGAGGTAATGTATGTAGAGCACCTAGCACTGAGCTTAATCTAAGTGTCCATTAAATTTTAACCACTGTTATTATTACTATTTATATTAGCATTATCATTATTAATAGTAATTATAATACTTTCCTCAGAAGAGAAACACTTGTGAGTTTGTGTCTTGTATGTGGTCCTGCCTAGCAATGCAATTAGGGAGGTGGAATCATAGATTGAGTCCACCTGTGTCTTTCCAAATTTTCCATTTCATATCCACAGACTGTCCAACTAATAGTTCTGGCAGCCACCTCCCCAAAGCGTGTGTTTGGTCAGCGAAGGCAGCTTGGCTTAAGGTAGTGGGTGGATTAGGCCAACCCATCACCACTTTTGGAAAAATAATAGTAGTAGTAACAATAGTTTTGTGATGCCTTTTCAATTTTCTGGGTATTTCCCTGTGTTTTAGCTCCTGTTTTTTCTCATGCCTGTGAGAGAAGTAATACATTTTGTAGAGGCAACTTAGCCTGCTTTCCCTCTCAGCTTTGGCACTTACTGCATGTTCCTTTGTGTGCCTCAGTATCTTCAACTGTGACATGGAGTAATAACAGTTCACAATTCATACAGTTTCTGTGAAGATTAATGAGCTAACATATGTAAAGTGCCTAGTACAGTAATTGAGGCATAATAAGTGTTCAGTATTAGAAGCTATACTGGAGGTCATGTTTTCTTTCCCATTTTATTTTTTGTGCAGACTTTTTTTTTTTTTTTGAGACAGGATCTTACTCTGTTGCCCAGGCTGGAGTGCAGTGGTGTGATCATAGCTCAGTGCATAACTCAGTGATCATAGCTCCAGGGCTCAAGTGATTCTCCTGCCTCAGCCTCCTGAGTAGCTGGACTCCTGAGTAGCTGGACTGACTCCTGAGTAGCTGAACTCCTGAGTAGCTGGACTACAGTAGCTGATGGCCCAAGCCACCACATCTGGCTAATTCTTTTATTTTTTGTAGAGATGGGATCTCACGATCCTCCCACCTCGACCTCCCAAAGCGCTGGGATTACAGGTTTTTATGTATTCTTGAAAGAACTATTATTTATTGGGTATCTTCTAAATGCAAGACACTTTCACATTTCTTATTTCAATTCTCACCTGAGACTGAAATGAAGAAACTTGTGCAGGGCCACACAGCTAATAAGTGGTAGAGCTGAAACAAAAGTCCAGGCTTCTGCCTTCCAACTGTCTGCTTTTCCTAGGACACTACCCTGTCCCTCATATATCAGTTGACAATACTAGGGTTGGTGATATTGTCATTAGGGAAATATTATACTTTAAAAGCTTTACACAATACATACCTGCCTCTATCAAGCAACTTTTTTTTTTTTAGAGAGACAGGAGTCTTGCTTTGTTGCCCAAGCTGGTCTCAGACTCCTGGGTTTAAGCAATCCCACATCAGCTGCCCTCCAAAGTAGCTGGGACTACATGTATGTGCCACTGTACCTGAGTTTTGTAACTTCTTTTTAAAGAAATGATATTACTGACATTTTGTCTAGTGCTTGAAATTGTTTAAAATAGTACCAAAAACACCTCTATAAGTTAGATTCAACAATATTGCAGTCCACTTTAAGGAGGGACATAATTGAGTGAAACCTATCACCCTGAATCACTGATCATTGCGGTTTGTTTGCATCAGTGCCTTTCCCCAAGTCAATTAGAGATCCAGAGTTTTGAAGCCAGTACTTACCTGCAATTCACGTTTTCATTATGTTTCACAGCTGAAATGTTACTCTAGGCCAGTTCTCAAGCTTCGTGTGCGTCAGGATTACCTGAGGGCTGGTTAAGGCACAGATTGCCCGCCTCCATCACCAGTTTCTATGTTTGTAGGTCGATACGGGGCCCAAGAATTTGCATCTTTTTTCTTTTTCTTTCTTTCTTTCTTTTTTTTTTTTTCTGAGACAGAGTCTTGCTCTGTCACCCAGGCTGGAGTGCAGTGGCGCGATCTTGGCTCACTGCACCCTCTGCCTTCCGGGTTCGAGTAGTTCTCCTGCCTTAGCCTCCCGAGTAGCTGGGATTACAGGCGCGCGCCACCATGCCCGGCTAATTTTTGTATTTTTAGTAGAGACAAGGTGTGGGATTACAGGCGTGACCCACCGCACTCAGCCTTGCATCTTTTTTCTATGTGACATTATACTGCTGGTCTGTGAACCTCATTTTAAGGACTACTGCTCTAGACCAGGATTCAGCAAATGTCTCCTGTAGAGGGCCAAAGAGTACATTTTTTAGGCTCTGTGGAACATGTGTTCACAACTACTCAGCTACCACTGTAGCTCAAAATCCTCCATAGACATTTGTAAGCAAATGAGGGTAGCTATGGTCCAATGAACCTTTTATTTATGGGCACCAAGATTTGAATTTCATGTATTACAAAATATTGGGTTAAAAAGTTTTTTTCAACCATTTATAAATGTAAAAACCATTTTTAGGTTTTGTGCTGTATAAAAACAGTCAGCAGTCCAGATTTGGCCCTTGAGCTGTAGTTTTCTGACCCCTGCCATGTAGTTGTGACCTGTTGGGGACTTCTAAAACTATTGTTCTGGCCAGGCGCGGTGGCTACGCCCGTAATCCCAGCACTTTGGGAGACCAAGGCGGGCAGATTACGAGGTCAGGAGATTGAGACCAGCATGGCCAACATGGTGAAACCCCGTCTCTACTAAAAATACAAAAAAATTAGCCGGGCCTGGTGGTGCGCGCCTGCAGTCCCAGCTACTCTGGAGGCTGAGGCAGGAGAATTGCTTGGACCTGGGAGGCGGAGGTTGCAGTGAGCCAAGATCGCGCCACTGTACTCCAGCCTGGGCGACTGAGTGAGACTCCGTCTCAAAAAAAAGAAACCAAAAAACAAAAAACAAAAAAAAGATTGTTCTAAATATGAAAGTAATAAAATGAATCAAAATGTCTTCCTGGCTGGATGCAGTAGCTCACGCCTGTAACCTCAACACTTTGGGAGGCCGAGGTGGGAGGATCGCTTGAGCCCAGGAGTTTAAAACCAGCCTGGGCCACATAGCAGGACCCCATCTCTACAAAAAATACAAAAATTAGCCAGGCATGGTAGCATGTGCCTGTGGTTCCAGCTACTCAAGAGGCTGAAGTGGGAGGATTCCTTGAGCCTGGGAATCCAAGGCTGCAGTGAACCATGATCGCACCACTGTTGCCTTAGCCTGGGCGACAGAGCAAGACCCTGTCTCAAAAAAAAAAAAAAAAAAAAAGTCTTCCTCTCTACCTCTAGCCCCAACCACAAGCCACAGAAAGAGCCACTGTTTACAAATATCAATTTCCAGAAATTTTATGAGCACGTGCAAGCTTATATAAATGTATAAGCTCCTTTTACATTAATGGGCTTTTTATATGTATTTGTTAAGCATTCACTTTTTTCCTAACAGTGTATTGTGACCTCTTTCCATATCAACACATAGAGATGATGATTTAGCCTATTCTTTTTAATAGCTCCAGAATTTTCTGTAAGTATACCATAATATATTTAATCAGTCCCCTACTGGTATTTCCTATTTGGAAACATTTGAGTTGTTTCCCACTTTCTTCTACCACAAATAATGCTGCCATGAGGGTACATCTTCATTCATCCATCAGTGCATAGTGTCTGCAGGATAAAGTCCTAGGAGATGAACTGCTGAGTCAAAGGATATGTGCATTTAAAATTTTGATAGACATTTCTAAATTCCTGTTGTGAGTACTTCAAACCCTATATTCATTTTCTTTCAGTGTTATACTTACATTTTTGCTATTTAGTCTTTATCTGACTTGAACATTCATCACAATGAATTTCAGTATAATGCCTCACTGCACGTGAACTTAACACAGAGTAGTAATCCTATGGAGGGCAAAAAGTGCAGCTGGCAATTTGTCCGTGATTCTTGAAAGGAAACGGCTTTACAGAGTATAAAGCCATCAAAACAGTGCCCTGAATCTAGGGTCGTCTTGGACATTGCCACATAAGGTATTACAGCAGAAATTGTTCTTTTTACAGACCTGGTGCTTAGCAGATGTTTCTATATGTTTGTTTCCCGTTAGAGTAGAGTTTTCCATTGTCACGCATTTATGTAAACATAGTATTAGCTAATAAATACGCTGTGTTACTATTGTACTAGAATTCAGAATACCACTGTTTTCATTTCTATTTGGGGCTTTTCCTTTTTCAGTCAATAAGGTATTAGAATAATGATTTAATAGACAACACCACAACATCTTAAAGTGGAGGACTGTGTTAGGTTGTTTTTTTACTTAAAATATGTCTGTTTCTGCTCACAGGTTCTCATAGAATTTTCTCTTCACCACTCAATCATATCTACTTACACAAGCAGTCAAGCAGTCAACAAAGAAGAAATTTCTTTTTTCGGAGACAAAGAGATATTTCACACAGTATAGTTTTGCCGGCTGCAGTTTCTTCAGCTCATCCGGTTCCTAAGGTACTGTATTGCCTATTATCTCCTGCTTTTTCCAGCCAAGATAAAAGTTGACTGCAGAAGTGATCAAATATTTTTGCACCTTTGATTTCTGAGCCATTTGGGTTTTAATTTTCAAACTAGGTTTGTGATCTAAAACTGTGATTTGAGAAGTTTTAATATCCTGCAATTCTATAGCATTAATTTTTTAAAACAAAGCTCTAAGCTTTCAATTGCTTAGAGTATTTAGAATTAAAATTTTTAACATGAAATTTTCTATATTAAATTTCTAACATGAAGATAAAACTATACGTATGTAGTTTTCTAACTGTTTTAGAGAAAAAAAATTGACTATAAAATTGTGATGATTCAAAAGAGATTACTTAAAACTAACATACTAGATTTTTTTAAGCCTGTTCTTACATTTTCCTTGTTATTGATGCTGGTGTCTTTGAATTGTCTTTTAGACTAAATTAAATAAAATATGTCTCAGAGCAGTCTTGGCTTTTTTTTTTCAGAGATTGCAATTCTGTGGAAAGGCAATCTATCCATTTTTCAAAATGCAATATAAAGGGAGTGTGCGAGTGAGCCCTTTAGGAAGAAGGAGAGTAGCTAAAGAAATATAGATTGGTCACAAAAATCATCTGCTTTCTCCCTTTTATGAACTTTGTTTACAGCGAGCCCATATTTAGTATGTTATACTTCTGAAGGTGAGTGGCCCACTTTTATGGCAAAGGCCAGTGACACAGAAGGGCCACCAGGATGTATCCCCTGGCCTGGCCATCACAGTGAGAGTGAGAATTTGGTATTAGTTACAAAACTGACACTTTTTTCCTTAGAAGAAAAGAAAAAGAAATCTCTGGTGAGGTGAATTGTATTGCTTTAGCCATTTCAGTCAATTTCAGCATGACAGCCCAACAGCCCTTCTGCCTGCAAGTTATAACCTTGCCAGATCACAGAGCAGAGTGGAGACAAGAACACAGGCTCTTTGGGGGAGACCTGGTGAGCATTTGTGGGCATTTGTGGTGTAGCTGTGGGAGAGTAGATGTTCCTCTGGAGCTCAGCTGTGGCAAACCAGGCAGTAGTGTTACCTGTATCAGAAAACCCATCTGAACAGGGGAGCAAGTGAAGACCCGTAACTCCTGCAGGACAGGCTTCACAAAGAAGAGAGCCCTAACCTCAGCCCTTCCAGAGCTGCTGCAATGTTTCAATTGAAGAGTGTTATCTCCCTCAGCTTCCTGTCCCAAACTGCTGTGGAGCCTAACTGTGGACTGTCCAATAATGCTTATAGTTTGTAATGCATTATAAACTATAAATAGTTTGTAAAGAGCTGTGCAAAACCTTGGGACTGAAAGAAGCTTTGTGTGTAAGATGGTATTTATTTCCTGAATACTGCCCATGGTGGAGAATGGTCTGCAAAAGTGATCAGGGTTGCACGTCTTGAGTTTTGGGGTGGCTTTTTGTTTACTCTTGACAAATAATGGAAATGTTCTAGGTAATTTTTATGTATTTGAAGAATAAAACTTGTTTCATTTTATTCTAGTGTCTCAGTGTAAGTACGGTTGCAAAATGTAAGAAAAGTGTATATGTAATAGGCTTTAGGGAACTTGATAGTCAGCCTTTTTACATATGTTCATTTTGAGAGGGTGTTGGGAGCTATCTTTTGCATAAATTATATTTTTGTGTTAAGAAGATGAAAGTGCTCTTAATTAACCATTTGGTGAATTGGAAGCTTGGTGCTATTTTTCATCAATGGTGAATATGCTTCTAACTGGGTTGGGAGGAGGAAAAAGAGAAAACTACTGTTTGTTTTGACCAGAAGTCTACTTCAGTCCAGTTTGACTCAAAGCATGGTAAGGTTAACAGACCATCCAGAGGCAGCACTAACAGGCAATGTTAAGTTCAAAAGGGCAGGGGAAGGAACTGGGGGCAGCCTGGAGGGTCTGTTGTGCTGGCTTCGGAGGTCGGTGCTCCGGCAGGAAGGGCAGAGCTCCATGAAGCAGGAGGCTGTGTCTGAAAAAATGATCCCATTGTCGTGCGCTGGGTTCTGATCTTCGTTTTCAATCCTTTTTCCTCAAGCACATAAAGAAGCCAGACTATGTGACGACAGGCATTGTACCAGACTGGGGAGACAGCATAGAAGTTAAGAATGAAGATCAGATTCAAGGGCTTCATCAGGCTTGTCAGCTGGCCCGCCACGTCCTCCTCTTGGCTGGGAAGAGTTTAAAGGTGGCGTCTCACCAAGCCTCAGAACGACTTACATAAGGGGCAACAAACACTCCTCTTTTTTTCCTTCTCCTTAACTCTTCTTTTAGGTTGACATCTAATTTGTTTTAAAAATTTATTTGTTTTAAATTAATTTGTTTTTAAAAATTAAGTAAAGCCTTGGGATGGGGAAAAGGAATTTTATTATTTTATGTGTTTATTCAAGAAGTAATTTAAAATCCAAATTCAATTTTAACTAGCAGAATTCTAGAGATACTTTGGTCTCAGTCAACCTATCCAAGTTGATCAATGGCAGACAGCTTTGATTTTTGCCCCCCTACTCCTGCCTGTAGTTTCAGCTTTTACTCCCCACATTATTTCTGTGTGCTTGAAGATTTGCTCTACCTTGTCCTTTGTCTCCTATTTTCTTGCATTTGCCCTGCAAAGAAAGATCAGATCACATACACAAAGCTGTAGGTAATATAGCAGTGTAATTACATACAACTTCCTACTACAAGATTTAGTTCTTTTAGGCCAGGCGCAGTGACTCATGGCTGTGGATCATTTGAGGTCAGGAGTTCGAGACCAGCCTGGCCAACATGGTGAAACCCCACCTCTACTAAAAATATAAAAATTAGCCAGGCATGGTGGCGGGCACCTGTAGTCCCAGCTACTTGGGAGGCTGAGGCAGGAGAATCACTTGAACCCAGGAGGTGGAGGTTGCAGTGAGCCAAGATCATGCTACTGTACTCCAGTCTGGGCAACAGAGTGAGACTCCATCTCAAAAAAAAAAAAAAAAAGATTTAGTTCTTTCATTTAGTTCTTTCATAATAATCTGAAGCACCCTTCTGTATAAGGATTATAAAAGAAAAATATGAGCCTATTTTCTGCCAAAAGGTGGGCAGAATTTAGGAAGTGAGACTCAAAGATAAAATCACTCACAGTATCTTCTGTGTAATAAACTTACAACACGGCTAAACATAATGTATATATACAAAATGAAGAAAATTATTGAAGAAATGGTTAATTTTTAATAAAAGATTTTATTTTTGTTTTAGAATTTTATTTATGTTTATGGAGTTTATGGAAATAGTCTTCATATACTTATAAAACTCAATTTCAGTTTTCTTTTAGTTTGGGAGCAATTTAGTTTGGAATACCTTTAGTAAGGAAAAAATATTTTAAAAATTACATTTATTTAGACATGAAAGAAATGAAGATTACTTAAAATCAAATCTCTACAAACTATATTAGACTCACTCTTTTAAATATCAACCATAATCTCTGTGCCATTGCTGCAAAACCCCTGTAATGTTTTACTGAGATAAAAAGATGCGAGTTGACCTACTTTTCAAGCTTTTCAAGGTTCAACTGATGAACCTTTTGAGCATTTATTCACATGCGCTGGGTAGCCCAGGGCACCAATCATTGAGAAAGAGTAAGGAATTGCCGAAGAACATAATTTTGAAATCCTCAGGCCAAAAGGGAGTTATGTCATTTAATGACTCACAAATGATTTAGAGGATCGTAGGGTTTAACATTTCTATTTCCTAATGGTCCATAACACCATCATATGCCCAAATGATTGTCCACAAGGCACAGTTGAGGATTCTAACACTAATCATAATTAATTCAAATGTTGTACCATAACTTTATCATAGTAAATTTATACAGTCTCACATGGAAGTACTGTTGCTATAGCATAGTTGATAAATACAAGAAATGTCTTCAATTGTTGCTGCACAATTTCTTTATTTAACATTTTAGGTTGACATGACAACTGAAGAGATAGATGCTCTTGTTCATCGGGAAATCATCAGTCATAATGCCTATCCCTCACCTCTAGGCTATGGAGGTTTTCCAAAATCTGTTTGTACCTCTGTAAACAACGTGCTCTGTCATGGTATTCCTGACAGGTATTCAGTTCTTAATAACATATTGTTCCTTTGGAAACTAAAACATGAAGCTAAGATCTGTAACATATGTTGAAAGACACTATCATTCAATTGAAACCCACCGGTAAACTTCTGAAATTGATTATGATAAAACAGAAATTTTGAAGTATTTTACTTCTAAATGGATACACCACCACCATTTAATGTTTGTTAAAGCAGTGCATAATCTAAATGGGGGTTGTGCATTACGTATGTCTTTTACTTCTTAGATTTTAATCATATAAGTGGTAAAATTCAAATGTGGCAAATTTTTCTTATCAACTCTTGTTTTGGTTCTTGGCAAAATTAAGGTAATAAATTAAGTGCATCTTTTGAAATAAAGATTAGATTTAGTTATCCTGTGTAGTCCTCCTTCACTCCAAATTATCACTGCATCCCATTGGGTTTGTGACAGTAGTCATTAAGTATTTATTTTTATTTTCCTTTTATTGAGATCTGTCTATCACCATTTTTTTTTCTGTTTACGTTTTAGTCGACCTCTTCAGGATGGAGATATTATCAACATTGATGTCACAGTGAGTAAATCATATAAAAAATTGTCTTTGATCAACTTCAGAATTGCTGGTAGCAACAGGAAGAGTGGATTGAAAATGTGAACTGCACCAGTGGAAGTGCTGTTTACTTCTAGACCCAGACGCAAGCAGCTGGTTTCCTTTTTTGTCTTTAACTCTGTGTTTATTCCAAGTAAACCCAGGCCTGACTTGAATTTAGGGCTGCAATCAGATGCACTGAGATCAATGTTGGCCTAAGTGAAATGTCAACCCAATCCTGCTATGTGTCATGTTTTTGAGAAGGTGTAATTGTTATTGATCCACTGTGTAGTTAACGCAGAGCACCACAGCACTGGGCAGCTGCTGAAGCTAGATATGTATGAGATGAGCTAACACGAAGAAAGCCAGCATTTTTCCTTCACTCTGCCAAGATTGATCTTCCTCTTCCTGCTGATTTTGAGTGGGGCCTGTCATTATCTTACTCTGTCATTAGGGGCTACATTGGCCTGTGTATGTCAGTCTATTTGGACAGCAACTCTTTTGCTAGCAGTGTTCCCTAGATTTATTAAAATCCCTGAAGGTAACGTTGAGTTCCATTTCTGGTATAGAGAGCCTTGTGCTCAAAGTAAGCAGAGTGGTTTTTTTGTCTGAACTTAAGTTTTCACCAAATGGTTAATAGCCTTTCTTTTAAGTAACAAGCCTAAGTAATTTATCATAGGGACTTCAAATTGTACAAGATGTAGCTTTTTCTCATTTTCTTAGCCTTTTACCATTCTCAGACTTGGATTATATGTGCTTTTACATTTCTGTTTATTAAAGAATTTTGTAATGATACCTTTGGATTACCTAGATTATAAATAAATTCTGTACATCTAATGATTAACAAATACATTTTAAATAAATAAACAAAATTTAAACATCTTAGGAGAACTAGTTGAAATGACAATATTCAGGGAATACAATTTCTATTAATAAGGAAGTGTTTTTAAGAATAGTATCTAGACCATGAAACTGAAGTAGGAGTGGGAATGAGATAAAAATAGGAATCCAATGGTGGAATTCAGTCTGACTTTTAGTTTAAGTTAACTAAACCTTTTTTCTTCATATCAATCATATGAGGAGATAGCCAACGATTCTTTCATTGCTGATGCTATTTCCTGTATCATTTTATCCTACTTAAAATGCTTGAACACTTGCACCACATACATCCTGTTGGTATCTTTCCAACTCAGAATCATGTGGAAGGAGGTATTTTATGAAGTATACCTAAAACAGAGTTCTTTTCATGAGACACTTTTATTTTGGATTGTACCTGATTTTACGGTTTTACATCTATTTTCTCATCTAGTCACCCTATCATGAAATGTTACCATTTTAATGTTTTGAATGAAATCAACTACTCTTCCCTACTGTTTCCAGTGTGTCCAAAGAAAATACTCTATTCCTTTTCTAAGTTTCCTGAATACTTAATAAACAGTTTTGTATTTAACATTCAAATTACTTCACAATTGCAAAACTTATAAAGCAAAGTGAAATATTTCCAAGTGTCTAGAAATGTGAAGGAATCTAGGAAACATATAGGTCCATATCTTAACAAATTATATTTCTTATAAAATATTTTATTAAGTGAAGGACTCCATTATCAGATCCTATGTTTCTATCAGAAAATACTCATTGCATCTTAGAATTATTGACGTCTAGTATACATCACAAGAAATTAGATTTCCTTCCCCCCTTTAAAACTGAAAAATGTTTTTCTTAAAGACAATGCGATGTCCATAGTAGTTGCTCAATAAATATTTGTTAAATGAAGTACAAGGGCCAGGCGCAGTGGCTCATGCCTGAAATCCCAGCACTTTGGGAGGCCAAGGCAGGCGGATCACCTGAGGTCAGGAGTTCAAGACCAGCCTGGCCAACATGGTGAAATCCCATCTCTACTAAAAATACTAAAAATATAAAAATTAGCCCTGTGTGGGGGCAGGAGCCTCTAATCCCAGCTACTTAGGAGGCTGAGGCAGGGAGAATTGCTTGAACCTGAGAGGCAGAGGTTGCAGTGAGCTGAGATCGCGCCCCTGCACTCCAGCCTGGGTGACAGAGCGAGACTCTGTCTCAAAAAATAAATAAATAAATAAATGAAGTACAAGTACTAGTTTATGGGTATAAATAGAAATTGTAGATGACTGCCACAGACTTTCAAAAGTATTGTATTTCTGTATATAGTGAATCTTTTAAGTAGTCTTTTTTTTTTTCAGACGGAGTTTCCCTCTGTTGCCCAGGCTGGAGCACAATGGCAGGATCTCAGCTCACTGCAAACTCCGCCTTAAGGGTTCAAGTGATTCTCCTGCCTCAGCCTCCCCAGTAACTGAGACTACAGGCACACGCCACCACACCCAGCTAATTTTTGTATTTTAAGTAGAGGCTGGGTTTACCATGTTGGCCAGACTGGTCTTGAACTCCTGACCTCAAGTGATCCGCCCACCTCCGCCTCCCAAAGTGCTGGAATTATGGGTGTGAGCCACTGCACCAGTCTCAAATAGTCATTTTGATATTCCTTCCTTCCTTCCTTCCTTCCTTCGTTCCTCCCTTCCTCCCTCCCTTCCTCCCTTCCTTTCTTTTTCTTTTTCTTTGTTTCCTTTTCTTTTTTTACTTTTTCAGATATAGGGTCTTGCTCTGTCACTCAGGATGCAGTGCAGTGGTGCCATCATGGCTTACTGTAAGCTTGAACTCCTGGGCTCAAGTGATCCTTCTACCGTAGCCTCCCAAGTAGCTAGAACTACAGGCGTGTGCCACCACACCTGGTTAATTTTTTAATTTTGTAGAGATGGGGTTTCACTATGTTTCCCAAGCTGGTCTTAAACTCCTGGTCTCACGCAATCCTCTCATCCCAGCCTCCCAAAGGATTGCAGGCGTGAGCTACTGCACCCAGCCTCAAGTAATCATTTTCAAAGCTAGGAAAAAGTAATATGAAAAGATGAATAAAGATTTTTTAAAATAGTACATTTTTACTTAAAAAGCAGTTATATAAACATTCATTTATACATTTTCTTGACTACGCCTATATTAGCAAATTTTATATTCTTGTATTTTGAATGAAATCGTATTTTGTATTTTGAAATAGTATTCTTGTATTTTGAATGAAATATAAGAATATAAAAATTTGAATTTTTGAACGAAATCAGCATAGTCTTCCCTACTGTTTCCAATGTGTCCAAAGAGAATACTCTATTCCTTTTCTAAGTTTCCTGAAGACTTTTAATAGTTTCATTATTAACATTCAAACTATTTCAAAATTGTAAAACCTATGAAGCAAAGTGAAATACTGCCAAGTGTATAAAATAAAAACTCATACTTTCCTGGATTGCAAAGGACTGTAAGTGGGAGTAAATGTATAAAACACTATTCTGTTGCAAGGTAATTAAGATAATTTGATATAGTAGAGAAAACACTCGATTAGAAGCCAATAATCCATCATATTAACCTGAATCTACCTCTATATTCTGCCACCAACCTTAAACAAGTTACTTATCTGTGCCTCAGTTTCCTGAATTATAAACTGAAGATCTAATAAAGACCTTTCTTGCTTCCTTCACAGAATATGAGAGCATTTTTTAAGAAATGCAGAGTAGTATACAGATTTAAGACATTAATTCAGTATCACAACAGACTGAAAGCTCATATAAACATCTTTTTTATAACAGTTTCTACATTCTACCTTATGAGCAAGAGAAATGTGAAAAATAATTAGATAGGACAAATTTATGCAAAGTAGCAAATTCCATGCTACATCAAAGGATCAGTATCCAAACAGTTGCCTCTGCCTTTTATATTTACTATAGTGCTTGGTTATCAATGATTTATAATGAATCTGGTATCTTTCAAGATCCTACTTGGCTTCTGAATCACTGAAGACTGATAAAATTATACTTTCTGTAATTGTGCTTTTAAGCTTGTTTTATTATATTCTAATTCTTTAGATATCCATATATAGTGCTTTCTGTTAACGTTCGGCTGTCTGGAACATTTGATTAAGATTTCACTTCTAGACATAGGATTTTTCTGTAACACATTTCATTCCTATATGGAACCACTTCAATTCTTAGAACTGAATTCTCCTATTTGTTTGTTAGAATACAGACATGTCTATCTTACTTCTTCTTGTCATTATATATCACTTCAAATGTAGAACTGGTAAATACAAAATCAAGTAAGTCTTCATGACATTGAAGAAACTTTTCACTATGTTAAATACTTTTTGGTTCTCTAAACCTGTTGTGGTAATTGTAGATCAAGGTCTTTGGCTACTAATTTTTGCTTATATAATTTTGTCTTCTCAGAAATAAAGTGAGGAATCAAAATATTACAGTAGTATTGTTCATCATAATGCTGAAATAACCATACTAGTTAACATAGTTGTTTTTAAATTTTGCAATATCATTGCATGGCTTCATCTTTTAAATTTCTGCAAGGTTTCAATATATCTATTTCTTCTTTTTTTGATAGGCAAATGAATAATTCTGGAAGGGTAAAACATGAGTCTACTAAATACATAAATGAATACAATGTATACTTTAGGAAAGTAGATTTTTAAACAAGGACATATTTTTAAATTTCTGCTTATGTTTAGGTCTATTACAATGGCTACCATGGAGACACCTCTGAAACATTTTTGGTGGGCAATGTGGACGAATGTGGTAAAAAGTTAGTGGAGGTTGCCAGGAGGTGTAGAGATGAAGCAATTGCAGCTTGCAGAGCAGGGGCTCCCTTCTCTGTAATTGGAAACACAATCAGGTAAGCCTTACATTGACAAGTAAAGGGAGGGTTGGCAAATGGTACAAAGGTTATTGGTGGCTTGGTATAAAGTTGATGACATGTTTTATGATTCAGAACCATCATTTCAGTCTGATATCAGTATGTGAACTGCCAGGCTGCAATATTGTTCCCTGAGTTGAAAAAAAAAAAAGATTTTATAAAAATGAATTATACCAGGGTCAGCAAAGAAACTTATAGAAGGAGCAAGCAATATTTACATGGCTGCTTTTGTTTTAGCTTGACATACTGGTCTATAGTTTCCCTTTATTCAAAATCACACCAAATATGGAAGGGAGTACCTAAGAAGGGGATGAGCATCTCAACCCTGGGGTTTTTAATAAGACAGGAGAAAAACTAAATTTTATAAAGGAATGAAGTGAAATGTATTTCTGTGATATGAAGATAATAAAGTGTTAGTTCAAGCAAGCCTTACCTTTCAAATTGGTAGATTAACAAATAGCCTGAAACGGTGATCTTCTGTTCTTTTTTTGTCTGGTTCATTTTTCCTGTAAACCGTTGTTTATTTTTCACAGAGTATTCTATCCTTACTTTTTGAATGTATGTGTATGTGTGTTTTCTGAATTTAAGACTTTTCTTTATAATCTGTTACCTACTTTTAGGTCTTTTTTCCCCCATAACTGTTTTGAAGTAGACATGCCGAATATATGTTTTCATTTTAAAGTAATGCATTCTGTTAAAGATGATCACATCAGTGCCCTTTAAAGTACTGTTCTCATTAATATGAACCATTGAATACTTCCCATTTGTCTAAAGGATGGAAGGCTTAGTCACCTTGAAAAGATGCTGCCTTTTTTTCTTCGTAAGCCTTCAAATACTTTAAGAAAAAAGCCAGTAAAATATCAGTTAAATGTATTTATGGCTTTAAAAATATTGTAACAGTGTCTGAATCAAACTTTAGTAAAATCTCTTTGGGTTATATCTGAGAAGCTTTTATTGAAGACTTTGAACAAAATTGTGTTTTTGACAGTTTTAAATTATAGGCTAACTAGCCTGGGAAAAAAGGATAGTGTCTCTCTGTTCTTTCATAGGAAATGTTGAATCAGACCCCTACTGGGAAAAGAAATTTAATGCATATCTCACTATCTTACTGTCCATGAATATAATAGAAATGAATTCAAAATGCAGTTTTATTTTTGCAAATGGGATGAGTCGATAGATGCACCTCATATTTTTGAACACCTAGGGTTCAACAAATTTACTGGTGGTGCTCTTGCATTTTAACAAAATTTATTCTTCAGTAGAAGGGGGCAGAGAACACTAGATTCTTATTCAAGCATTCTATCGAGCTCTGCATTCATGGCTGTGTCTAAAGGGCATGTCAGCCTTTGATTCTCTCTGAGAGGTAATTATCCTTTTCCTGTCACGGAACAACAAATGATAGCTAACTACAGAGGCACATTTGCAGTAGTCACATTCATCAACTGCAGAAAAAAAAATTCAATTTAATTGTGCAACACAGCTGCACATGGGCTTTTGAGCATTTCTGTTGTTCTCCCTGTCTCGCTATTCCTCCCTCCAGATCTATTTTTTAAACTTTTTTTCTGGTTATTTTTTCCCCTTTTTGTCTCTTCTTCCATTTTTACTCTCTGTACTTTCTTGTTAAAGTAATTTTCCTTTGTGGCTCTCATTCTTTTTCCCCCATTGAAGGCTATGAATGTAGAAAATTATCACAATTACTCATATAATTGAGCCTCTTTGTAGCAAGTGCAACTCCAGTAGCCTTTCTCCATCATGAAAATGGTTTCATTATAGGGTTTTTCATATTCTCTGACACCATCTACACAGAGGAACAGGCGTGCAGATGAGATGTGCTAGGAACAGGCTAGATCAGTAAGGTCACAGTAGGAATAATTAGCTCTGCTATGGAAAGAGCATCTAGGCCTTTTACTGCTACATAAATGTACTGTCCATGGCTTTTAGTCACAAAAAAAACTTACTAACAAATGGAGCTCCCGCCTACTACTTTGAAAAAAAGATTTGTATCAACACTACAATTTTCCATCATTAAGACTAATAACACAGAGCCTAGTATACATCAAGGGGAATAAAAAGAAAAATCTCACATTCAAGTGGCGGCTGGGTGCTGACCTTTGTTCCCTTTTTTTGTGTACGACTTAACTCTTTACAAAAAAGAGCCACACGCCACACCAACATGCAGGTGAACTCCAGCTAGTACTAGCAAAGCATAGCATTCAGTTGGAAAATTTGATAAATCTCCATGCAGGATAATGCATTTCATTACATATTCACTACATTAATTCTAGCTACATTAAAAAAAAAAGAAGAAGAAGAAGAAGAGTAGAATTGAAAGTGACATTGGATTTTAGCTATCTGGATACAAAGGTCAGTTTTCACAGAGTATGAATTTGCATGTACAAGCTTTTTTGAAAACCAGATCAGTCAGTCCCAACAACTGCACTTAAAAAAACTATGTGGAAAATAACAGACAATGAACTTTTTACTTGTACCCTAATACATTTCATTATTTAGATGGTTTATGTCTGCCGCTAGAAAGGAAACTGGCCCCGATTCTAACAAATATTTGTTCTGATGTGTTAAAGCAGTGTTTCTGGACACCTATTATCTTGCCTTTTCTTATTCTGGCAAAATCTTAGGGGAATAAGTAAACAAACCATATTTACCTTTAAGCCAAAAGTACTTGAAATCATTACAGACCAAAGGTTTACAAACATCTTTCAACTCGGTCTTGTTTATTTTAAGATATTCACCATCTTTTGCGTAGCCTCTCTCTACTGATACACTAGGAAAAGAACAAGCAACTTGTATTAGTATCATGTTATCAAAAACCTTGAGATCTCTACAGGAAATTTTGGAATTCTCCTCTGAAACCTAAAGAAGATAATGTCTTTGAGGAAGTATCAGCTAAAATGTTTTAATGGAAAGAGTTCTCTCTGGGCCCTTTTGCTTTTGTGAGGAATGTCTAGTAATCTTTAGGTCATAGTGTTACTAGACTCACTGTATCTCCATTTGCTTTAAAATATTTCTAAATCTGTATTTTTATAATTATCTCTAGATTATACAATCTGTACATATGAGTATATTGTGAATGTGTAGATTCATGCATCATGAATATGTGACAGTTCAATCAAAAATAATTTAAACTTGTAAATGTCATGATGAAAGTATCAATAAATGGTTTTTAATGTTTAATTCATAACTATATGTTTTGATATTAATTTGGAACAATATAAAGCAGATTTTTAAAAAATAATCTCTTTCTATTAGATTACGCACATTTAAACAATAAGTGGCTCAGGCAAAATAAGTCATTTTAATGTCATCTGTGATGGATTTTTCTTGACAGCTACTGTAAATTACAATTATACTGCTTCTCTCTGCACATGAAAGTAAGCATTGCAATAAATTATCTTTTATTTCAATCCATCATGTCTGCTTTTCAGAAACAGAAAACCTCAAATAAAAGTTCAGCACTATTGTAAGAAAAATACAGTAATTTGTGATCTGGTTTGAAACAAAAAAAATCTACTACTTTTTTGGAAAACAGTTGTTGGCTTTCAAAAATATTACTAATTGTACTTAAACATTCCTTTTCATTAGAAGGAATCCCTGGATTTGTGCATTTCTTCATTCATAACTACTGCCTAAAATAAATATCTAGAAAGAGTAAAGAAAAATTTCATAACTTATGAAATAACATGCCATTTGAGATCATTTATTAGAGATGTGACTATTTGGAGATTAGTGCTGTTTATAGGATTAATGTAAAATTGGCAATAAATCTATTTTCATGTGCATTTTTATTTCTTTATAACAGCATGTACGTAAACATAGTACTCCTCTGCCCTCTTGGGGAATGTATTTTTAGTCAAAAAACTAGTTGAAAAGTATTAAGAAATTTAATTTACCTAGGTGACATTTAAATTGAGTATAACTGCCTCATGAAAAGGAATTAAACTGAAGAAAATGGTCACAAGATGAAATTCCTTAAAAGAGGTATCTTTTTCATGTATAAACTGTAACTACAACATGAATTGTAATCAGACAGTATAATAGGAAAGTAAGTTCATAAACAACCTTTATGTATCCTCCTCTCCCTCTCCAAATATTCCATATAAAAGGCCTCAAATCACAAGTGTGCTTGGGTTCATGGGCAGATGTCACACTGTCTTAAAGGATTTTTAGTTAGAGAAAATCAGAAGATCTACTACCAGGAGAATTCTTTTCAGTAGGTTTCAGCAGAGCGAAGACAGATTTTATCCGTGAAATGTCCAGGGCAAGAAAACTCTTGTGCACAGAAAAGGGTTATGGCCTGTGGTGACTGGTGTTTGGGAGCACTTCGGTGCTTCTGCCTGCCCTGCTGTTTCCATTTTCCCCAGCATGCCAGTCAAGAGCTGCAGACATACTCCAACTCCCCATGCCACAGTTAGGGTTACCAGTACTTTCTTTCAAATTAGAGGAGTGAAATTTGCTACTACTGGTCACTTGGATTGTCTCTGTGAATTTGGACTTAAACCCTACAATCAGGTAAATAATCTTGTGCTCCCCATTTATTCCAAAATAATAGAAAGGGAATGCTTTTAAACAGTAATTAGGAATATTAATGAGATCCTATCTGACTTAGTTCCAGTAAGTGCTAAAAACCACCTACCAATCCAGAAGGAAAATACTCTGCAAAGCAAACAGGAGTGTATACTCAGCTCCTGAGAGTCAGGCATTAAGATGTGCTCAAGCAGGGAACTGGGGGAAATTTGGCCTGTTCTTTTCCTCTTTCCACCTGGCTGTGAAATCCTCTAACCTTTGCATCCATGACACACAGATTCTATGATACTCCTGGAGCCAGAAGTTCCAGCAGGACCCACGGAGTAAATTGTTGTAGGAGAATGCTCTTAGATATCTTTAGCCACCTAGTAATTGCACAGCTTCTTTTATGCAGAGGAACGAGAGGTATGATGGGGGGAGGGACCCTAAGTGTTTTTTCAGAGTGGGCTTTCTTCCTCTCCTCTCATCGGAAATTAAAATGAAGATTGCCATTGTAACACACATTTAAGATGTAGCCGTGATGCCTGCCAATCAGCCGGATCCTCTAAAAACAAAAAAAAAAGAACCTAGATTTTTTTTTTTAGAAGAGAAAATAGAATAGTTTATATTGAGTGTTCTTAGAATCATTGAGGTTTGTTGGGATTGAACTAACATAATTTATAGGTTTAGGGAGAAACTGTTCCTGTAAAAAAAAAAAAATCTAGATTATTATGTCCTATTTAATTATCTTTCTTCCACCCTGTATTCACTCTTCATCCTCAGTGTTTATTCAGAAACTGTGTGGCACAAATAAAAACACCTTGGGAAACACCAAATAGAAATACTTGCCCACCAAAGATCCACAGAAATAACCATAAAGTACAACGTAAGAGATAAAAACCTTGACTTACCGTTCCTGTCCTCAACATATGTATAGCTTACCTATTTCTGCACTAACAGTTACATCAAAATTAAATCTGAATAAGAGGCTGCCCATCTGCTGGTTATAGTGACATCCAGGTCTAAGTGAAGCTGTCTTACAAGTCTGGGGATGGTTAAAATTATTTAGAAAAATGTATAAACATGAATGGCCATAAAGATGCTGGCTGAAAGCCTGTGGGTTCATGTTAAACTAAACTTAGAGTCTGTTAGAGACTCTAGTTTGAGATCTAGAAACTTAGTTCTGTTAATAATTGAAATAGTAGTCCTGTAAATCCCAATCTAGTGTTAGGGTTAGGGGCATTTTGCCCTTTGTCCACATGAAAATATAAATTCTTAATAGTATATATGTTCTTGTTTGTCTGATGCTCCCCAAAATAAACATGTTAGCTGATTTCAAGGACTACTTTTCAATCTTGTAGATGAAGATTTTAGAATTGGAGTCTGTGTGCTTGGTTTCAGATGGAATGTAAAACATTTGCATGTAACTAATGTAGTGCATGCAATGTACTTCTCCACATACATGTAATGAAGTAACTAATGAAGCACTAAGAATTGGGAATCACAATACTAGCTTATCTTAAGCATCCTAGTGATTAAAAAGCATTCTTTATGAATTTTGTTAATGGTGCAGGTCTTGAATGGAACTCTCAAATGATCTCACGGTTTTGGAGTATTTCAAGAATATTGACAAAGTAGATTGAGCTTTTCGTGTGAGTGTGCCTGTTGGTAAAATGTGTAACACTTTGAAATAGAGCAGAAAAAGGGAACCATAGAAGTAGAAAGTCATATTTCTATATTGTAATTTGTTTTATATTTGGTTCCCCAATCAGGAGTAATTTATAGTCTTTTTGTGAAACCTCAAAAAAGCCAGGCAGGTTTTTATGACCTGCATTATATGCACATATATCCCGGTTATGTATGGCAATCACTATGTGTGTATACACACTCACTTGTTGTCTAAAAGTGGCTTTGTTTGAATGCTGTACAAAGGTAAATGACTCAAACGACTGTGTTGGATAGATATGTACCTTCTCTCTTCATATATCCAAAGACAGTGGTTGCAGGCAACAGCAAAAATTAAAATTATTACAGCATAATGAAAACACATGAATGTTATTATCTGACTCTAAATATTACTGACTTTTTCTTTTTCAGAGAATATTTTAAAGTGACTTTGTTTTATCTTAGTATGCCTGAAAAACTTATCTAATTTAATTAAATATTTTTTGGTCACTTTTAAAGCCACATAACTCATCAGAATGGTTTTCAAGTCTGTCCACATTTTGTGGGACATGGAATAGGATCTTACTTTCATGGACATCCAGAAATTTGGCATCATGGTAAGAAAGTTCATTTGGAGGCTGTTTCTTGATCAGAGATCAAGATGTGGCAGCTTTGACCCTGAAGCTCTTCCTCTGACTTTGAATCTGCATTATCAACCTTGTGTTTGTGTGTGTGTTTATGTGCAGGGGGCAGGGGAGGGGGGTCTGCTTAATTTTAACCGGGACATTACTGTGTTACTGGATTAGAGCCCAGCTGTTTCAATCCCAAAATAAGGTTTATTTTGCTCTCTGTCTTCTCCTGAAGGGTGCATGGCTGGAAGGCACAAGGGATATTTGTGTAGAAAAAGTTACTGAAAACAAAACGCCACTGCATCAGTGTCCCAGCAGCATGCACATATGACTGTTTCTGTTTTTCTTTTTCTACCCCCTTTTCTAGCTGCTGACTGTTGTGGTTAAACTTCATTACATCCTACACAGCGTTGACAGCTGATGTATTTAGCAGCATGTACTCCTTCGTGATTTCTAGATTATGCCCACCCTTGTCTTCCTTCCCCAGAATCTCTTGTTTTTCACTGCCTGGGTGTGCACCCTATAGTGAGAAGACAGGGGTGGGCCCAGAGGGGTGGGAGGATTTGGATTGAGGTAGGAGGCAGCTCAGTGGAGCACCCTCAAGGCAGGTCCACACCTGGACGGGGATCAAAGGAAAGTTGGTCCTGGGGCCTTGACCTGTGCCCCTATGGACTTGATTGGTCCATAGAAGGACTACTCTTTCGGACCCATGCCCTCGAGGATCGCTGGACACCCAGCAGGTCCAAACCCTCTTTGGACCAAAGAGCCCCCACCTAGGCAGCTCAAGAGGTTCAGGTGAGAGTGCAGAAACGGCTTGTCAGCCTTGTGCCCTACCTGGTGCCAATGTCTGGAGTGAAGCTATTTGAAGTCAGGCCCCTGCTCCCCACAACCTGCACCAAAGGAGGCTTCCCTCCTTTGCATCCTTCCCCAGGACTTCTTTGAGTGAGGGGTGTGGGCAAGGCCCAGGACCCAGTAGTAGGCTGGGAGACCTAGTAGCCTGGGGGACAGGGAGAGGGGGCGAGGAAGCCTGACGTGTCTGAAACAACCAGGCTGCCCCTGCCAGGCCTTGGAAAACTCTTCTGGGGGAGTCTTGACCCAGAGCACAGATAATGCAAAGACTCAGGCCCAGTAGCCCCGTGTTTAACTCCTGGTCACTATCCAGGACTCCAGAAATCTCCACCCTTCCTTCTCTAAAAGAAGAGAAATAAAACGACCAAGTTTTTTAAAGGGGCCTGACCCCTGTAATCTGTTTTTTTTTTCTGTCCTCCCCATTTCCTATTCTCACCCCCCATGTTTTTTGTTTTGCAGCAAACGACAGTGATCTACCCATGGAGGAGGGCATGGCATTCACTATAGGTAAATTGAGCTCCTCTTCCGAGTGAGTGCGTAGCTCCTGGTGGAAGCTTTTGCCACTGGCCTAGGCCCGGCAGTCCGGTGAAGGACCAATAAAGCCAATCAGTGTAATGAAATAATTCGGATGCACTGGAAATCTGATTAAATAATATCCTCAAGCCCCATCTTCCTAAATCAGATACTTACCGACACATTTAGGAGAAGGCAGCCATCCAACCTCTAATTCTGTTACCAGCATAATGTGGTGTTGGGTTTTTTGTTTTGTTTTGTTTTTTCATTAACACCCAGTAACTAGACACGATTATGTCCCTTGCTCCCTGTCAGCAAGTGGCATGTGCTCTCTGGTGGCCCGTTCCTGGCTGATCCTGTGATTGGTATCACCACCAAATTCCAGTCACCTAGGGCCGTAAAGACATCCTGTTTCTGACTGTGGGACTTAATGGAGAAGCAATTAGAGTGAAATAAGAAAATTGTTATTTGCTGATGAATGAACATCTCGAGCATGTTTTTAAAATTTAAATATTTTTTTAAAAATTGGTATTTATAAGAGGGACTGGTGTTTGGGTGGTTATTATCCACGGGGTCCTAATTAAAGCTTGATTAAAATGCCCTTCTTTCTCTAAAAAATTACGAACTAGGCAACTTCATACATTTTGAATGGCGCAGTGTTTCCTCTTCCAACTGTTTAGTTTGTAGTATACTATGTAAGCAACATCAATTATCAACCCTTGCAAGATGACAACATGAGCCTGTGGGGGAAGCACTTGAGGGGAGGGAGGAGAAACTTCTCTTTTTTAATAATCAGCCGGAAACAATGTTTAACAAGAATCTGATGAGGTCACTGCAGTAAATATTTTTCCTCTTACAGAGCCAATCATCACGGAGGGATCCCCTGAATTTAAAGTCCTGGAGGATGCATGGACTGTGGTCTCCCTAGACAATCAAAGGTGTTTGCTTTCTGCTCTGTTGCTTTTAAATTGTATGGGAAAGGAAGATTGGTCCGACGGCGCGCTTGTGGCCCGGCCGGAGCTTGCGTGCGCGTTCTGACGGCTGGGTGCTGTGTTACAGGTCGGCGCAGTTCGAGCACACGGTTCTGATCACGTCGAGGGGCGCGCAGATCCTGACCAAACTACCCCATGAGGCCTGAGGAGCCGCCCGAAGGTCGCGGTGACCTGGTGCCTTTTTAAATAAATTGCTGAAATTTGGCTGGAGAACTTTTAGAAGAAACAGGGAAATGACCGGTGGTGCGGTAACCTGCGTGGCTCCTGATAGCGTTTGGAAGAACGCGGGGGAGACTGAAGAGCAACTGGGAACTCGGATCTGAAGCCCTGCTGGGGTCGCGCGGCTTTGGAAAAACAAATCCTGGCCCTGGACTCGGTTTCCCAGCGCGGTCAACGCATCTGGAGGGGACTGGAGGAAACCCCCTTGTTGGAAGAGATTCCAAGAGAAGCACGGTTTTCTCTTTCCCTTGCCCTGACTGTTGGAGTAAAAAACCTCTTAAATCCATTGTATCAGAGGTCCTTACCTCTCTGACAGTTACAGTGATCTTTGTATCTGAACTTTGCACGTCTGCCGAAAAATCCGAACCTGTTGACTGGGATTTTTAAGAATCCGTTTCTCCCTTTTGTGTATTCCATATTGGCCGGCCCCAAGGATGCTCGCAGAAGCCAGCCCCCAACCCCAGCCCTTCCGTATCTTTCCCCTCCATCGCGGCTTTGCGATGAAAGATTAGCCCGCGAACAGAGGCATTGATTACAAACATGTCCTTGGCAGTGGACTCTGGGCCTGGCCATTCTTCAGGTTTCTGTCAATCCAGAAACGCGACTTTCCTGGACCCCTGCGGCTCTTCCTCCCCCGCCCACATCCAGCCCTCCAAGGCCAGTCCAGAGGTGAAGTTTGAGGCCCTCCCCCCACCCACCCCACACGCACGCACGCACGCTAGACCGTTTGCTGCACTAGGAATTCGAGCTTGGGCCCCACTCGCCCAGGTGTGAACAGTGGCTGATTAGTGGGCGGTCTAGTCTCTAAAATGACCCCTCCCCAGACTGGCCCTTCTCGCATCGGGACCCGCGCTTGCACGCTGCAGGAGCCGCAAACGTCAGCTGTTCTGGAAACCGAGAGGGTCCCAGAGAGAGGAGATACGGGCGCATTTGAGAGCAAGGGCCTACTTGGCCGGGACTGAAGCTTGCGAGTTGAGCTCCAGTTCGGCCGGCAGTTCCATCCCGCTTCAGGAACAGGAATCCAAGGGCCCACGCTCTGTCTGCCAAGGGCCATTCCTGCCCGGAGCACCCTCCTTTCCCTTGCGCTTGCTCTCCGGTACCTGTTCCTCACCTGAGCTCAAGGGCAGGGAGAGGCCGGGCCTCTGGCAGTCCACGAAGGAAGCCGTCTGCCTTCGGTTATGATTTTAGGAACAAGTCCAACGAGGGTGTTCAAGCAGTTAATGGTTGTGCTAACTCTTGTTTCTACTGAAGCGGGTTTTGCAAAGCTGACATCCCTTAAAGATAACTTGGGCTTTCGGAAGCGGCAAGGAAATGGCACCTGTAGTTGCCAGGACAGGTGGTGTCCTCGGCCAGGACTAAGAGCCAGCTCATCTTTGTAACATTCATAATACGGGAAACTGAGGACCAGGTGGCTCGGAAAAGAGATGAGTTCCAGCTTTTACCTAACACAGGGTTCTCTCGTCGTCCCCCAACCCCTCCAGCTCGGCTTCTTTGTGTCCAGGGTTGTAGATTTTTGGATAGAGGTGTTTCTGATTCTAGTGAGTCTGAGAACTGGAAAAGACCAAGGAGGGGTTGATGATTTACAAGGTCCATAGAAAAACTTTTTGTGTGGTCGGAAGTTGGCCAAGCAGAGGCCCACAGCCTGATGCTACTGCCCCCCACCCCCCCAAAGATCTGAATTCCCTAAAGATCAAGAGGGTTCAGCTGGCCTTGGGAGATGTTTGCTGGAGAATGACTTCAGTTTTCTCCTAAGGCAATCAGATTGCAACCATTAGCATTGTATCTTATCTGCAAATCAGTTTACTCCGAGGTTCCCCAAGGATAGTTTTATTAGGACCACAGGACTTTACTAACCACTGAGGTAACACGCTGCTTGTGCAGCAATTATTTTGAGGTGGAGGTATTTATGGGACAAGTTTATAATTCCATTTATTAAAGGGACTAACCTAAAGTGTGTGGGTGTATATATATATGTGTGTATGTGTGTACCAACACTCAGCAGCTCCCTAAAGAACTCCCTTTAACATGCTTTGAAGTTGAGATTAGGAAGTAGATTTAAAAATACCTCGTCCACGCCTTCCTGTCCCTCTTCCAGCTGAACTGGCCGAAAACCTCACCCAGAGCCACTGGGATTCCAGCCAAGAGTGGCTGCGGCTAACACCACCAGGACCTCCTGGTCCTGAGGTGACTCCAGTAGGCTCCATGAGGAATCCCGGACCCTCAGGACAAATGGGAGAGTTTTGTTTTCTCTCAGAGTGAGGGCAGGCAACAATTTAAGCAAACCGGCATTCAGAACAGGTGTCACCTTAGCAGTAGGGGGTGGGAGGGATCCACTCCAAGTTCACTGAGTGCAGCTAAGATCCCACATTGAGAAACCAGCTACCGCCAGCGGCTCGGCATCAGAGGGCCCGCGCTCAGTGCTCCTCCCTAGACCTTTCTGAGCTAAGAAATAATTCCGGAGTGTAGCCATCTCTTGCTCACACACAACCCGCTTCTAAATTAAGCAAGGCTCTGAAACAGTATCCCGAGGGGCTCATGCCGGACTTTTGTTCCAAGAAGGCAACCAGGTCCCCTGTGCTACCGCAAAAGTCTTTGATCCTTTTCCAGCTGTGGACACAGAGCACCCAAGAGACTGTCGCGATGTGCGGCCGTCTCTCCCCTTCCCCCACCTTGCAAGTCTCTGGAATACACTGTCCCTAGGCGGCCCGGCCGTCGGGTTTCCTCACGCCTTGCCCTGAGCTCCGGGAATTACCAATTCCGCTTTCCCCGGTCCCAACCCCGACCCCGCGCCCGCCGCGGCGATCACTTACTTGGGCAAGGCCCTCAGGGCACGCGCGAGAGACCTGGGGCCCGGCAGTATCCGAGCGACTGTGCTGGGCACACGGCGTGGCACTCCATACCCTAAAACAGGCACTAGGAAGGAGCAATTAAAACCACAAGTGCGACACAGAAATCAGGACGAGCCGAGCGGCTCCCGGAGTTGCCTGGTGGCGGAATCATTAGCTGGCTGTTGCTACAAAGCCTCACCGTGTGGTTCGGTGATTAAGAAAAAAAAAATCTTTTAAACGTTGGCAAACCCGTTATTGGTTTGGCGTATTGGGTTTTTTTTGCTTTTGCTTTTCTTTTTGCTCCAACCACTCTGCCTGAAATATTTCTGCCCCCAGCATTGTGCCCTTAAACCAAAGGAGAGGAATTCTGCGGGCAGCAGCAGCTGGTACAGAAGTTAAAAAAAAAGAGAAACCCCCTCTACTAATATCTGTAACGACAGCACCGATGTAATTTGTTTTGAATGTTCATTTTTATTGGTGTTCCCTCTGCCAAAATGTGCTTGATTACAGAGGTTTGTCCTGTGATCATTGCACACTCCAGACAGGGGAAGGTGCAGCGATGAAGGTTCAGCTCAGGCCAGATCAAATCCCGGGCTGTTTAACGCTGAAAGGCTGCATGTTGCTATTAGTGTTAAATATATGGCTAATTATGCGTATGAAAATTAAACATCAGTGTTATGCTAATGGGGCGCCTTCAGCTGCGGATCTGAGCACTTGAGACTACCATTTAATCAAATGAATCAGTAACTAATACATCTGCACGTGTGAACTTTCACAAGATCATTTCCCCGTTCCCGTCACACCGCTAAATTATGAAAGAAATAATTATCAACACTTTCTAATTACCTAACAAAGTAATTTGGGATTCACCGTGGGGCTGGCGGGATGGGGAACCAACATCCACTTACAGCCAGGGTGGTGTACGCCACACCGCGAGGGACTGGCTGTATTGGTAGTAGTGGCGATGGGGTGGGGGCTCTTGTGCACTTTTTTGTACCTAGCACCCCAGAAGACAGAAGGAGCAGCGGCAGATCTTGCCTCCACTAGCCCTGCCCCCTAGGCCTGGTGGCGCGCGCTTTGGCCACTGGAGGTGAGGAAGATCCTGGGTGGCAACGAGAGACGTCTACACATAGATAAGGGAGCCTACCACAGGCCTGGGTTTGCTGCGGGTTTCGGTGTCCCCCAGGGACTCCTAAACTCTGGAAGTCGCGCTAGACCTCAGGAGGCCGGAAAATGACCACCTGGCGTCGGTGGCTCCAGCAGATCTGAGCCCCTAGGCCCCCTGGGCTCCACGCTGAGCCGCGCTCTCGGGGCGAGTGAGCCCGGGGCTCTCCGCGCATGGGGAGTGGAGAAGGGAGGGGGAGGAGGAGGAAGGCTGGGAGGGAAAGAGGATGTGTGTGTTGGGGGAGGGGGCGGTGCAGCCGCCTTTCCTGGGAGGAGAAGCGCGGGTTCCTGGCTCTCCACGCGCACTGCTTTAATCAGACCCGTGCAGCCTCGAGCTGGAGTGGCCAGCTGGGCCTGGAGCAATGCGAGCGGGCCCCAGGGAGCGACAGCGGCGTTGGCGCAGCGGCCGAGTGAGTGAGTTCGCAGGGAGGGCCCCTAAGCCCCGACTCCAGGGATGCGGCAGAGCGTACCGGGGAGGCGCGGCCGGATAGGCGCTGCGCTAGGCACAAGGCTCTTAGGAGAACCTCTGTCTGTTGGCCGCCTCGGGCGCCCCCAGTGCGCGACTCCGCGCTCCAGAGGCAGAGGTCAGTCTCCTCCTGAGCCGCCCTAGCTCTGCGCCGAACTGAGTGGCAGCGACGAGAAGCGGTCCCGGGTGTCCGGTGTTAGGGACCGCTGAAGGGTGGGGACAGTGGTAGGGGGGCGGCGGCGCGGAGCCGCTGGTTGGTTCCTGGGGAGGAAAGCGCGCGAGGGAGGCGGGAGGCCGATGAGCCGCGGGCCGCAGGGGCCCCGGCGCAGACGCCGCAGCCCATTGTGCTTCCTGCCCGGCGCGCTCTGTTGCAGAGGAGCCCCGGCCGGGAAGTGTGGATGCGTCTTACCCGAGGCCGGGCCGCCTCGCCCGCTCTAGTCCAGCGGAGCCCGAGCGCCTCGGACCAATCCCCAGTGATTATGCAAGACAGCGGACCAATCAGCTCCGCCAGCTCATGAATATTTATGACCTTCGCTGAGTCAAAGCTTTGAACCGAGTTTGGGGAGCTCAGCAGCATCATGCTTAGACTTTTCAAAGAGACAAACTCCATTTTCTTATGAATGGAAAGTGAAAACCCCTGTTCCGCTTAAATTGGGTTCCTTCCTGTCCTGAGAAACATAGAGACCCCCAAAAGGGAAGCAGAGGAGAGAAAGTCCCACACCCAGACCCCGCGAGAAGAGATGACCATGACCACCATGCCAGAAAGTCTCAACAGCCCCGTGTCGGGCAAGGCGGTGTTTATGGAGTTTGGGCCGCCCAACCAGCAAATGTCTCCTTCTCCCATGTCCCACGGGCACTACTCCATGCACTGTTTACACTCGGCGGGCCATTCGCAGCCCGACGGCGCCTACAGCTCAGCCTCGTCCTTCTCCCGACCGCTGGGCTACCCCTACGTCAACTCGGTCAGCAGCCACGCATCCAGCCCCTACATCAGTTCGGTGCAGTCCTACCCGGGCAGCGCCAGCCTCGCCCAGAGCCGCCTGGAGGACCCAGGTACGTGCGCTTGCCAGGGAGAGGGAGAGGAGGAGGTACAAGGGAGAGAGGGAAAGAAGGAGCGGGGGAGAAGAGGAGAGGGAGAGAGAGAGAAAGAGAAGAGAGGAGAGCGAGGTGGGGTGGGGGTGGGGAGGGCGCGGGAGCAGTGGAGGTTTCGAATATCAATCTATAGATCCTTGTCACAGCAAATAAATTTTTTTAAAAATTCCCTCAATTTGCAACTATCCAGCCAAGGATAAATCCCAGAGCGTCTCCTGGCACTGGCTGGGCCTCTGGGCGGCTCGGTGTGCAGAGCACACAATGCCCCGCTGGAAAACAGAAACCCACATGTGCACGTATTAGTCTCGGTAATTATTTATTGCGTAGCGCTATAAACAATGTATGCAATTAAGGGTAATTAAACCTCAACTACCGCCTGCAAAAATAGCAAACTTTCCCTGCAAAGGCAGGAGCTGAGCTCCTGGGAACGGCTCTATCCCTCCTGCAGCGTCCCGGGACAGGCCCTCGGATTTTGGGGGACCCTTCCCTGGCTTTCAGAGTTTCTTGAACGTTCTCTCCCTGGTGCTGCCTCCGCCACCCTTCGGTAGCCACTCGCTCTCGGCTGTTCGCACTAAAGGCGGCCCCTCGTATTAACAACGGGCCCTACTTCTGCTGTCCCTCCAGGGGCGGACTCGGAGAAGAGCACGGTGGTGGAAGGCGGTGAAGTGCGCTTCAATGGCAAGGGAAAAAAGATCCGTAAACCCAGGACGATTTATTCCAGTTTGCAGTTGCAGGCTTTGAACCGGAGGTTCCAGCAAACTCAGTACCTAGCTCTGCCGGAGAGGGCGGAGCTCGCGGCCTCTTTGGGACTCACACAGACTCAGGTACCTCGCCGCTGCCGCTCCGTTCTGCCACGCAGGCTTTCCGCGGCCGGCCTGCGCCCGGGTCTTCATTTGTTGCTCGCTGGGACTCAGGGTCGGGGTGTCACTGTGTGTATGTGTTTGTGTCCACCCCTGGCTCTCAGCGTGTCTCCTTCCTCCCTCATTCCCTCTGCCCTAGCTCTGTCACTGCTCTCGGTATCCCGAGCTGCCTGCCGTCCGGCCCTCTGTCCCTGGACAATCTGATTAGGGCGCAGGAAGGATTTCCCCAGACGATTTGTTTGGGAACTCAGAGGTCACACGTGCCTAAACAACTGGAACAATAGACTCCGGGCTTAATCCCTCCTTTGCCTTTAAATTGTGTGACTAATCACTCGGGGCCTGGGTCCGCGCCTCAGCCTCCCTCCTCCTCCTCCTTCTTACCGGTTGGGGGTGGGGGGAGATCCTTTCCTCCGCCCTCTCACCTCTCAAGTCCCAGACCTTAGAGAAGAAACGGGACCTTCCTTCCCGGCTTTCTGTAAGACTCCGGGGAGCCCGTGAGCGTTCCTGACGGCGGCGGGCGCGGGTTTCCGACGTCCGGTCCGGGATTTGGAGCAGAGCTGGAGAAAGCAAACAGACACTAGTGCAAGAATGGTTTTGAATCCAAAGAGAAGTTCAGCAAAACCTTGAGGCCTCCTTAGTCCGTCCCAACTCAAGGGCAGAAAAGATGGCGCATAGAAAAGTTGGGTCGCGTTGCAAATAAATTTCCTCCACTCCTTCCTAGGTTTTCGATTCTTTTTATTGATGTTGATATTGGAATTGCTGGCTCGGTGTTATGCAGGCGCTGTATCTTCCGCAGGCGGTAGCCACGGTCGGACTGAGCCCCTGGCAGGCTAAGGCCTGGATCCCGGTTCTCCCCTCATCACAACTCCTCCCTGGCTCTCTGAGAGCTGCCCCCGTGGGCTGACGGCGGCGGGAGGTTCGGCCTTCGAGCCTTTGGCTCTTATGGGGGAAGGGAGGAAGGAGGGATGTCTCTGCTTCTCTGGCAGGGAGCTGCCAGCTGGCGCAGGGTTGGGAGGTCCTATCTCTGCTGTTCTGCGGTCCCTTTTTTCCTCCCTGTGACCTAGGTAGGCTCAGTGGTCCCAGCCTGAGTCACGTTGTTGTCCGCTCTTGCAGGTCAAGATCTGGTTCCAAAACAAGCGATCCAAGTTCAAGAAGCTGATGAAGCAGGGTGGGGCGGCTCTGGAGGGTAGTGCGTTGGCCAACGGTCGGGCCCTGTCTGCTGGCTCCCCACCCGTGCCGCCCGGCTGGAACCCTAACTCTTCATCCGGGAAGGGCTCAGGAGGAAACGCGGGCTCCTATATCCCCAGCTACACATCGTGGTACCCTTCAGCGCACCAAGAAGCTATGCAGCAACCCCAACTTATGTGAGGTTGCCCGCCCGTCTCCTTCTTGTCTCCCCGGCCCAGGTCCCTCCCGCCTCCAGGTCCATCCATCCCGTCCGGAAAAGAAGGACCCAGAGGGAAGAAGGAACAGTGGAGGCGGGACGCCCTCCATCTCCTCGGAGCCCCGCGAGGTCCGGCCCAGCAACTTCCCGGCATCCGCGCTCTAGCCTGAACCCTGGCCTGGGCCGAGCAGTGGCAGCAGAGAGTGGCCTCGGAGGGAAGCCACTGCCACCTGAGACAGCCCAAGCAGCAAGATAAACCCGCTCCACCCGACCCGCCGACCTTCAGCTTTGTGGGACTATCAGGAAAAAACAAAACAAAAACAAAATGTAGAAAAAGCAAAAGCTCTTTTCTGTCCTGTCAGTCTCCTGTCTCCTTTTGCTCTGTCTGTGCGCTGGTAAAGTCCAGGTCCTCATCCGTCCGCTGTCCTCATTCTGCGGCCTCAGCAAAAAGCCACAAGGTCTGAGCGGCCCGGGTCCTGCCGGGCTGACCATCTCCGGATCCTGGGACACTCTGCCTGACCATCTGTGTAGCTGGTGTGGGAATCTGGGGGCATTGGAGGGAGGGGGTTTTATTTATTGAGAAATGGACTTCGCCTGAGGCTGTTTGCCAATTCAGGGTTCTGCTGGGCGCAAGGAACGCACTGTTCAAACGCACTGTTTACTTTAAGCGCACGGGGAGAAACGAATAAGGAGGACGTGGTGATTTTTAATTTATACAGTAACTTTTGTACTTCTCTGGTATGGAGAGTTTGGAGCCGAATGATTTGCATTTTTTACATGTCCGACATTATTTAATAAATAATTTTTAAAAGAAAAGAACGATAAATGAAGCCAACATGATTTTCTCATTTCGGGAGGAACTCTGTTGCTTCGCCTGGACAAGAAGGAAAATGCTGATTTCCTCCTTGGGTAGAAAGAGGGAGCGAGGGCAAATGGGGAGTAGAGAGAAAACAGGCGAGAACAAGCACTCTAATTCCAGTGGGCTTTAAAATAAGACAAAATCAGCTTTACAACAATCCCTAGAGGCTCGACCACAGAATAATGCCAGTCACCACCCTGAACGCACAATCTCCAGTGCAGGATCTAATGACTGTACATATTATTGTTATTATTATTATTGTTATTATTGTTGTTCTGTAAACATGTTGCACAAGCTTAGCCTTTTTGCGTTCTGTTGTGTGTGGCTGTAAAACCCCATGCTTTGTGAAATGAGAATCTTGACATTTTTCTTGTGAAATTTGGAAAATGTGATCAATTGAAATCAACTGTGTTTTGTGTTCTCTATGTCAAAGTTTAGTTTTATATTGAGAATGTTAACTTATTGCTTTGTATCTTGGGAAAAAAACTTTGTAAATAAGTTATAAAGTTTCTTTGAGACAGTAAAATTATGATTTCTTGAAAGAACTGCTCTCTTGTGCTGTGTGAGGCTGTGCCAGGGGGCCAGGCCAGGTTCCCGCCTCTGGAGACAGTTCATACAGGGTCAGCGACTTATCAACTTATCGGTGATAGAATGGAGACCCTGTACCCCAGAAACACCAGGGTATCGTCAGAGGCCTGTGAGGTGCCCCATTGGGCTTTTTCTTCCTGCCTTGCTCCATTGACCCCCAAGGTGTCTGATTCCTACCTGAATTGGAAGGGTAAGGAGAGAATGCCTGGCGAGGGTTCCCCAGGAAGGGGGCTCAGGAACAGGTGCATCAGGGCAGGGCTGACGCTCAGGAACCAAAAGGATGTTGAAGACCGGCTGAGAGGAGATGAAGTCAGAGTTCAAAGTCAGCCGGCCAGGACGATTTCAGTTTTTCCCACACCCAGCCAGCTCTTGAGAGGCCGGGAGGTTGGGAGGCTGAGAGGCCTGAAAGCAGAGACACTGCTTTGCCTCTAGCCTTCCTCCGGATCAGGCCTCCCTGCTTTTGCATGCCCGGAGGCGCTGGATTCCGTCGCGGAAAAGACGCAGCCAGACGCCAAGCAGGGGCCCGGAAAGACACGTCTGTCAGACTGCCCCTCTATCAATCAGTGCGCTCCAGGGGACAGGGCACAGTCCCAGGCAGCCACCCTGGGAGCTCCACAGTGAGAAAGGCAGGTTCCTGCCTAATGATCCGGGGCCTTTCTCTGCACCTCACAGAAATGGAGGTGCTAAGGAAAGGGTGGCTGACACTTTGGAACCCCAAAATCTGACCAAAGTCAAGCACACCACTCCCACCTCATCCCAGTCCGAAAGTCCCAAGGCCAGGCCCTTATGGGAGCACCTCTAGTGAAGCGCTTGCTCAGATTAGTTTCCTCCAGAGGAACACGGGCTTCAAGGGACTAGAACCAGATTGGTTCCCTTCTCGTGGCCCTGCGTCCCAGCCCAGCCCCAACCCCCACCCCAGATCTCGCAGCCGAGCCGAGGCAGTCCCGGAGAGCTGCGGGCCCAGACAGGCTGCCAAGCGCTGTTCCTACTTCTCCCGCACTCGCCTTCCAGCGCTGCTGCCCGCGGGAGCTGGCCCTCCACCTTTGGGGGGTCTTTTCAGGCGCGCGGTGGGGAGCAGAGCCCGGAAGGCAGTGATCTGTGTTGTGACAAGCACCCATTTTTCAATTGGTGCTGGTGAAAGATCAGATGCGCCAGGCTCTTCCGACGCCCTTTGGGAAGGGGAGGAGGAAGTGGTGGGGCTGCTGGGGGTGGGGGGAGGCGGTGTGATGGAAGCAGGGAAAGTAGTCGGGGGTGGGGGAATGATGCCGGGGACCTCCAAGCCCCTTCCAGGCCTGAGATTGGGACTTCTCCGCAGCACCTAGAAGAACCAGCGCTGATGGGAGAGATCAGACCTCAGAAACCAGGATGTGGGCAGTCAGATGGGCCTCAAAGCTGAGGAAAGAATGAATTTCCCAGCTCCCGCGCGGGGTAGGGGGTCTTCCTAGGTTCAATTTCCCCTAGGAGATGTGACTTTGCTAGTGCGAAGATTTCTGTCCGGCATCTGACTCAGGTCCCCCAGACGGCAGCTAGGGCCCAATGCCTCAAGCTACAGGCAAAATCTGTTTGGTCAAGCGGATTGTAATACTTTGAGATATTAGCTTATACTAATTTAATAATCTCTTGCTAACAGTTCAAATAGAGAAATTATTAGTTTTAGCTCAACGAAAACGGTCTTTAGTTAGGCTTTATTATAATTATAAGCGGTTGTACTTTTTAAAAATGTTAATCTCAATATAGGCCTAATTAATGCTGCCTTGTTACTGACAAGTAGTTCATCAAATATCTGATTCAAAGATTTTCATAATGAGTATATTAATTAAACTATGAATAATCTAAAGGTGGTTATATTTAAACAATACCTCATTATAATGATTAAATACTGATTTCGAATATTATGTCTTAACAATTGTCACTTAGAAAACACAACCTTTCCTTATGTATGAGTCTGTAATGGCAAAATGCAATTTTGGGATTTTTTTCCCTTGTTCAAAAAATGTGAAACTCATTTTAAAACACTTCTGAAATAGGTTACACACAGCTTAATGATTATCAAAATGACTCTTTTCTGCAAAAAAAGACCCCAAAGTGCGCGTACAGCTGCAAACCCAAGAGGGTCAGCATCATTTCACTGTATTCTCTTCTTGATTACAAGCCGGGCCCATCAAACACAACATAATTACAGTAATTTCAGGTTTATTTATTCTAATGCAGTTTCCCCATCTCTCTGGTAATTATGAGCAATTTTTTCGCCCAGGGAATCTTTTTGCATTAACAAAAGAGATAACGCACTGAAAGCCAAATTTGCTGTGCATTGAGAAAAGGAAAAAAAAAAATCAAATAGGTGCGAGCTGCCATCTCTGCAATTCTCTGGTACCGGAGCCGGCAAATTGCTTGCAGGTGTATGGAGCAAGCTTGTCAATGGCCAGGCCTCCAAATTAGCAAATGCACAGCAGCAAAGTAATGAAGACAGACTTAGCAAAATTGCCAAACAACAGATATCCCTTTAATATCTTCTCTCACCCACACTAGCTCTAAAAAGGGGTAGGGGTAGGGAGAGAAGCAACAGTCCCCAGCCCCCTCCTCACTGGTCTTGGCTTTCAGGAGCCTGGAGGGGCTGGGTAGCCTTGTGAGTGGTAATCTAATTGTGGGAGAACTCATATCTTAAATCGAGGCACTATTTAAAAATATAAAACTGGAAACGTTTATAGTTCACAGCTTTTCCTCTCTGATCATTATGTTTTATTTTTATTTCTTTCTTCTGGAAATCTGCACCTGGGCTGGGTTAGATATAATAGCTCTTCAGCCTTCTTGATTCTGTACGAGTTTTTAGAGCCACAAGAAGTTTTAAGATTCCCCCCACCTATATGCACAGAAGTGTGAATTTATTCATAGAGAGTCATCTGATGTAGAAACTAACTGAATCTTTCACCTTGAAGAAATTGTCAATTTCTGTCACCCCAGGAAAGGTAGGTCTGTGCGCTGGATGTGGAACCCGAGATACTAGATCAAGAAAAATTGGGAGCAAAGAAGCAACCCAGGCTTCCTGGCTTTAAATCTTTATCCTGGTATCCATCTCTTCCTTTCTGTATCTTTTATAAACTGATTTCAGAATTACCTGGTTTTTGTCATCCCACCGCCTGGATTAAACACCCTTGAAATTATAGGCTAACGCAAACTTTTCTGCTCTTCATCCCGCATGGCCATAGGAACCTCCATCAAATGCAGTACAGAAGGCGAGGGTCCTTCCCTCCCATGCCTCAAAGAAATCCTCCTCCGGTCCCCAGCTCCACAACAAACCCCTAGCTCCAGCGTAGACAGACAAACGGCTGTAAAAAGTGCCTTCCCCAGGCTCAAGAAACATGTCACCCCCACCCACCGCTTTCCTACCCCCTCCCTCATCCCCCAATCTTCGAGGATTAACACTTCCTGAAACATCAAGTGTTTTTATAAAAAGGAAAAAAATAATCCTGACATCGCTGACAAGAAGTTTTGATGGAAGAATTAGCTGGTGCATACATAATCACTCCCCCACCCTCCTACTCCCGGAGCGGGAGCCACGGCGGCGGGCGCAGCGCAGCCTTCCAACCCTCTGAAAAATGAAACCGGTTTCCACCCTTACCTTCTTCAGTGTCAATTTCAGATAATCTGGACACACACTCTTTGCTACATCAAATCAAAAGGGTCGAAGGTAGCTTTTGGCTGGGAGAATAACGGGAAAGAAAAATCAAAAAAGAAAAAAGGGAAAAAAAGGAAAAATAGAAAAATACAAAACCGACCAAACCAGAGTAAAACAAAACCAGAAAACCAAAAACAATCCCCCAGACCCATCCTCCTATCTTGAGAGTAAAGAGTGGAAAGAGGTCCCCAGGACCAGGCGCCTCAGAGCGCCGCAGGCTTTTTGCAGCGCTGCGCTTGCAGAATAGGACTGAAATTTTCGGCTATATAGCCTCTGTCTTTATAGCTGATGAAAAAAATTGCAGATTATTAGCATAAATGTTTACTCTTCATTACGCTGATGACATTGTGCACTCGAGATCTTGGTAATCTTTGGGAAAATTATGAGTAATTTTTAAAAATTTTAAAGCAGCAGCAGTTACCATGCAATTCAGGCTAATTCTGCGTAGGCTCCGAACGGATATAATTATCGAGGAGTCAAGATGTTATGCTAAAAACTATGCATTGATATTCCCATTTATTATGTACATACAACTTTGACAATGTTGATGCTTGAAATAGCAGGAAATTGTCTTGCGCAAAAATTACAGTCCATATTAGGACATCTGAAATTGCGAAGAATTATATAGTAATTGCAGGCTTTCAGATGGGAGAGCCAGAATGCTCAAACTAGTGCAAATGTGGATAAAATTACAGATCAGAGCAAAAATTAGGGAAAAAGGGGGTCTGGGATTTTTCAGGTTGGCTATAGGATTCCGGAAGTGTCTAATGCCACATGATTGCTGCAGCTTTAGGGGAGACATTCATGCCTCAAATAGAGCATTGGCCAGGGTGGCTTTAATTGAATTTCTTGGGCTTTTTCTTTTAATAGGGGCGAATGAGGAAATTGGCCACCCAAGGCAAATTTTCACTGTCCTCCCGTGAACGTGCCGAGGAGAGAATCCTTTTCCCCGCGTACCTGCTCTCCCCAGTTGAATGCCCGGGAGGCCCCGAGGGGCTCCCCACCCTAAAAGCAGCAACTGAGAAAGTGACTGAACCGGATACCCCCTCCTGCCACCTCCTCCTTTCTTTTTCTTTCCTGTTCCCCCCTCCTCCTTCCTTCGGCCCCATTCCCGGATTCTGGCAAACCCCTCCACAGTGCAGCCGGGCCGGGCCCCGGGATGGGCAGACCGGGCCCAGGGGGCGGGGGGGCGGGATGATGGGGGAGCTGGCTGACTGTGCTGTCGGTGCCAGGCGGGGAGCATCTCGGGAGATGCCCAGGGCAGTTTTGGGAAGGTGGGACGTGGAAGGTAGGAGCGGAGGGTCGGACTGTCCCGCCCCGCGACCGCCTAGGCTCTTCTTTTGTCTCTACCGCCTGGAGATAGCGTCCCCCCACCTCCCAAACATTCACTTCCCACTTGGGCGGCGCTTCTCTCGGGAACCGAGACACCCTGCGACTTTAAGAAGCCGAGGCCAGACCCGCGGAGGGAGGGGGCGGGGCGGGGGCTGCCCCCCGAGCGGGGAGCGCGGTGGCGCCCGGCGGGAGAAGCCGACTGGAGCGCGGCCACCGCTCGGAGCTGCAGTGCCTCAGTCCGGTTCTCCGGCCAGAAGTCCCCATTGTTCCGGGTGCGATGATTTCACCTCCCGGGTGTCCGAGACTCCTGGACCACAATCGGGACGGAGAAGCGGCAGCGTGGGCAGCCTGCCACGTTTGCTCCGTGCGGGCCCCAGTCTGTCCCCCGGGGTCACCCGAGCGTGCTCCAAGTCCAGTCCTTTCGCCCTCGCTTCTCCTGCCCCGAAGTTGTAATCCTCTGCCCAGCACCCCCGACCCGCCTCGTGGGCCGGTTCTGCACCTTCTCCCACTCGGCACCCGACCCTCGGCCCCCATCTCCTAGCCCGGGACCCGACTCGACTGGGGACCCTCCCCAAAAGGGCCTCTTTCGGAGCGCTGCCACGCAGCCCGCAAACTGCCGGGACACTGCAGCTTGTGCGCTCTGGCCCGGGAGGACTAGTGGGGGAGCCGGAGAGGCCGAGGGAAGAAAGGTCTGTCTGGAGGCTGTCTGCGTTCTTGGCGTGGAGGCGCCGAGCTGCTCCTCCAAGACCTGCCTGCACTTTCTTTTCCTGAAACACAGTCTCCCCGCCCCGCCCAGCATCAGGCCGCAGGGCGGAATGTAACATCTTGTAATGCGGCAATCACTGCCAAACCCGTCCCCGCGAGGGGAACTCCCGCGGGGGGGGAAGGGAGATCGAAGGGATGTGGGGCCTCAGCATCCGCCTTCACTGGTGTGTGTGGGGGCGGGGGTGGTGTGGGCTGGCGGCGGCGTGCCTGGCAGATCCTGGGTGGGGAGGGAAGGGAAAGGTCGGCCGGGGGAGGCTTCCCTGGGGCTGCTTTGGGTGTTAGGATCCTGCTAGAGGCCGCCAGTCCCCGCAGGACCTAGTGCCCTAGCGCCAAGGCTGGAAGTAACGCGGCCCCCAGGATAGCGCCCCATCCTACAGCTTCTAGGATTCCTGGACCCCAAAGTTGAATTCGAAGGGAAAGGACCTATCTGTATTTTTGGAGGAGGAGAGGATCTGTAGCTTAATTCTCAAAGGAGTCTCCGACCCTAAACAGGTTAAAGCCACTGGTGGTCGCTGTTCCATGGAGGGAAAGGAGCGGGCTTTTGACTTTTGAGCGAGTTCGGGGGACGCCAGGAGTGGGGGAGTTGCACTCGAGTTTTACTGCCCGTAAGAACGACTTTTTGAGAGGGGACGGGGCTTCTTGCTCCCGGACATTGTTCTCTTGGGCGGAGGGGACCACTTCAGAGCTTCTCTTTGCACCCGCCTCTTCTGCCCCTCGTCTTCTACCACTGAACTGTTTGTAAACAAAGTTCCAGTCTTCCCCCGCTCTCTCCGCCTCCACCAAACCGGTATTTCTCCCAAATTCGCTCCATCAGTCTGGGATCGTTACACAGGGCGGATATTCACAATTTTCACAAGTGATCCTGAAAGAAGGCCTAGGGGAAGCCTCCTAAACGGTCCCACATTGCAGCAGGGCTGGTGAGGCCTGGGATCCATTCTCTCTCTTTTCTGCCCTTCCCATCCCGGAGTCTCGGGGCCGGCGGCGGGAATTC